>NC_000009.12:39403939-39555454 GCF_000001405.40 Homo sapiens
TTTTCATTAAAGGCAGTGATGTTAAATGTGCTCTTGCAAAGGGAGTTTCTTCTAAGGTTGCTGTTACTAGGGAACTGTTGCTATGGGCACCATTGCTAAGAAATGTTGCTAAAGACAATGTTTCTAAGGATATTGCTAAGAGCTTTGTTGCCAAGGGTGTTGTTGCTAAGATTGTCGCCAAGGGAATTGTATTAGGTTGGTACAAAGGTGATTGCGGTTTTTGCCACTGAAATGGCAAAAATCGCAATCACCTTTGCATCAACCTAATAATTAAGGACATTGTTGCTGCATATAGTGTTGCAATGGATTTTGCTCCTAGGGCCTCTTAGATAAGGGTGTTGTTGCTAAGAAATGTTCCCCACACATACTGCCACCAAGGACATAGTTGTTACTGCCACTGTAGCTAAATGCATGGCTGATATGGCCATTATTGCTCTGGTCACAATTACAGTAGCCACTCTTGCAGAAGGAGCAATTCCTATGACCACTGTTGCTAAAGACATTGTTATTAAGTATGTTGCTATTAATGGAACTTTTTCAAAGAGTGCGGTTGCTAAGCACATTTTGCCAAGTTTTTGCTAATGATATTGTTGGGAGGGCCCTTATGCTAAAGACATCGTTCTTAAAGGTGTTAGTATTAAGGGTGGTGTTGCAAGAAAGTTTTTGCTAAGGATGCATTTGCTAAATCAAGGTTGGATGGTCACTGCTGCCACGAAAACTGTTGCTAAAGGCAACATTGCTAGGGGCAAAGGTGCTAAGGAAATTTTTGCTATGAAATGTGTTGATAAGATTGTTGATAGGCAGTTTTTAGAAAGGCACTTTCTTTGTTAGTATTAGTGTGTTTTGTGTTTTCTTAATATGTTTGTTAGTGTGTTTTGGCGTGCTTTGCTAAGAAATCTGCACTAAGTTGCTTTTGCTGAGGGTGTGGCTGCTATGGCCACTGTTGGCAAAGTCATTGTTGAGAAGGCATTATTTCTAAGTTTATTATTGCTAAGGAAATTGTTGCCTTTTTGTTAAGAGAATTGTATTAGTTTCCTAGGGCTGCCATATCAAAGTACCACAAACGAGGTGGCTTAAAATAAAAGAAATTTCTCTTACAGTTCTGGAGCTTAGAAGTCCAAATCAGGTGGTGGTAGGGTTGCTTCCTTCTGAGCACTCGGAATCTTTTCCATGCGTTTTTCCTTGCTTCTGATGGCTCCTGGAAATCTTTCACATTTCTTGGCATCACTCCAGTCTCTGCCTTCGTATTCACATGCCCTTACAAAACTTACTCTCTGTTGCTAGGAGCGTGTTTGCTAAGGAAATGCTTGCTAAAGGTATTTTTAAGGGCATTTCTCTTAAAGGCATTAATGTTCAAGATATTGTCACAGATAAGTTTTGGTACCAATGCAGTTACCAAGAGTGTTGATGTTATGGCCCTGTTGCAAAGGAAACTTGTTGTTAAGGGTGTTGCAAGACTCTTGTGTTAATATCGTTGTAAAGAAAGTTGTTGTTAAGGATGCTGTTCCTAACTGCGTTTGTTTCTATGTTGCAAAATGAGATATGTTAAAAGCATTGTTGCAAAAGATGTTCTTGCTAGGAGCATTGCTGCTGATGGAAAGTTTGCAAAGGTAATTGTTGATGGAAGCAATTTTGAAGGTCCTCTTTTTTTAAAAAAAAAAAAAAAAAAAAACAGGCAGAGTCTAGCCCTGTCGCCCAAGCTGGAGTGCAGTGTTATGATCATGGTTCACTAACCTCAAACTCTTGGGCTCCAGCAATTTTCTCACCTCAGCCTCCCAAGTAGCTAGGACTACGAGCACAGGTCACCATACCTGACTTTTTTAAAAAATTTTTTGTAGAGACAGCATCTCACTATATTGCCCAGACTGACCTCAAACTGCTGGCCTCAAGCAAACTTCCTGCCTCAACCTTTCAAAGTGCTGGGATTACAGACATTAGTCACCATATCTGGTCAAGATTGTCATTCTTAAAGGCATTGATATTAAAAGTGTTATTGAAGATTAAGGTTTTGCTATGAGTGCTGTTAGTAACTACTGTTGCTAAGAAAGCTGTTGTTAAGGGCATTTTTGATAAGGGTACTATTGGTAAGGTTATTATTCTTAAGGGTATTGCTATGGTTTGGATGTTTGTCCCCTCTAAACCTCATGTTGAAATTTGATCCCCAATGTTGGAGATGGGGCCTAATGGGAAGTGTTTGGGTCATATGACCAAATCCCGTATTAACAGATTAATCTCCTTCCTTGAGGCTGAGTGTGTCGTCTATCAGTTCCTGCCAGAGCTGGTCGTTAAAAAGAGCCTGAGACCTTTCTGCTCTCTTTCTCTCTCTCTCTCATCATGTGAGCTCTGCACACACCAGCTCCCCTTCATCTTCTGCCATGAGTGGAAGCAGCCTGAGGCCCTCACCTGACACAGATGTCCAATCTTGAACTTCCCAGCCATCAGAATTGAGAACCAACTAAATAGTTTTTCTGTATAAATTACCCATCCTCAGGTATTTATTTCGAGCAACACAAAATGGTATAAGGCAGGTGTTGATGTCAAAAAAGTTTTGTAAGGGCATTGTTCTTTAAGGCCTTGAAGTTATTGTGCAAAGAAAGTTTTGCTAAGGGTGTTACTGCTATGACTAGTGTTTCTAAGGAAACTGTTGCTAAAAGCACTTTTTTTCTCAGAGTATTATTCTTAAGGACTTAATTGCTAAGAGAATGGTAGTAATAATATTTTTGCCAAGGTTGTTGTGGCTAAGGAAGTCATTGCTGAGGGTCTTTCGTTAAACATGCTGTTCTTAAAGGCATTTTTGTTTTGTTTTGTTTTGTTTTGTTTTGTTTTGAGACAGGGTCTCACTCTGTCACCCAAGCTGGAGTGCAGTTGCGTGATCACAGCTCACTGCAGGCTTGAACTCCTGTGCTCAAAGTGATCCTCCTGCCTCAGTCTCCAAAGCAACTGGGACAACAAGCACACACCACCATGCCTAGTGTATTAGACTGTTCTCATGTTGCTAATACAGACATACCCAAAACTGGGTAATTTTTAAAGGAAAGACATTTAATTGACTCACAGTCCCCATGGCTGGAGAGGCCTCGCAATCATGGCGGAAGGCAAAAGAGGAGCAAAGTCACATCTTACCTGGCAGCAGGCAAGAGAGCTTGTGCAGGGAAACTCCCCTTTATAAAACCATCAAATTTCATGAGACTTATTCACTATTATGAGAACAGCATGGGAAAGACCCACCCCCATGATTCAATTACCTTCCATTGGGTCCCTCCCATAACACGTGGGAATTATGGGAGCTACAATGCAAGATGAGATTTGGATGGGGATACAGCCAAACCATATCATGTAGCTAGCTTTTTAATTTTTTTAATTTTTCTTTTTGTAGAGATGAGATCTCACTACATTGCCCAACCTGGTCTTGAACCCTTGGTCTAAAGCAATCCTCCCGATCCCACCTCTCAAAGTGCTGGAATTATAGGCATGAGCCACTGTGCCCAGCCAAAGGCATTGATGTTAATGTTGTTGTTGGATGTTTTTGCTAAAGGTGCTGTTACTAAGAACATTGTGGCCGTGGCCACTATTGCAGAGGCTACTGTTGCTAAGATCATTGGTGCTACAGGTGCTGTTCCTAAGGAAAGAGTGTTGAATTTAAGGAAATTGTTGTTATGGGCTATTTTCTTAGAGTCATTGTTCTTAAAGGCCTTGATAGTAAGAGTGTTGAAAATAAAACAGATTTTGCTACAAGTGATGTTGATAAGGGAGCTGCTGTTATGAGTACTGTTTCCAAATGTGATGTTGCTAAGAGCCAATTGCTAAGGGTACTCTAGCTAAATACATTGTTAATAAGGACATTGCTGCAAATAGTGCTGCTCACAGAGTTGTTGTTAATGGTGCTGTTTCTAAGGACACTGTTGATACTGCACCAATGCTAAGGGCCTGGTTGTTCATGGCATTTTTATTAAAGGCAGTTATAATAATGAGGTTGTTTTTAAGGTGTTGATGCCAAGAGTATTGTTTCTAAAGATATTTTTGCTAAGCATGCTGTTGCTGATGGCCTTGTTTTATAGCCACTGTTTCTATGGGAAATGATACTAAAGGTGTTATTGCTTAGGGCATTGTTGCTATGGTTGGTAGCCAAGAAAGGTTTTGCTAAATTGGCTTTTTTCCAAGGGTGCTGTGCAAAGGTTGTTAAGTACTGTTGTAAGGAAAATATTATTATGAATATTATTGTTAAGGCCATTGCCTATAAGAGTTGCTAAAGGACATTGTGAGTCCTTTATCCTATATAAATATAAAGGATATTTATATTAAGCACATTGTCACTGAGGAACTTGCTGCTAGGTGTTTTGTTGATGTGGCCTATTGTTGCTAAGGATATTGTCACTCTGACAATGATATTAGGGGCATTGTAGCTAAGGACATTGACATTAAGGCTCTGTTACTAAGACTCATTTTTGCTAAGGGTATTTTTGCTAAGGATGTTGTTATTAAGTACATTTTTGCTAGAGCATTCTTGTTCAGTGTGTTGTTGCTAAAGGGCTAGTTGCTAGAAGCACTTTTCCTAGAATAATTGTTGCAAAGAGCATTCATGCTAAAATGTTGATCCTAAGACCACTGTTTCTAAGAAACTCATTTGAAGGACACTGTCACTGTGAGTGTCGTTGCTAAGGTTGTTGTTGTAAAATCCTTTATGGCTAAGGGCATTGTTACTATGTTCATTATTGTTAAGTGTATTACAGTAAAGAGGCATTGCTACTAAATACACTGCTGTTAATGACTCTATTGCTCAGGGACTTAATCCTAAGGGTATTGTTGCAAAGAGAGTTAAGGATGTTGATGTTAAGGTGTTGTTTGAAAGTGTGCTGTTGGCCGGGCACGCTGGCTCACGCCTGTAATCCCAGCACTCTGGAAGGCCGAGGCCGGTGGATCACTTGAGGTCAGGAGTTTGAGACCAGCCTGACCAACCAACATGGTGAAACCCCATCTCTACGAAAATTACAAAATCAGCTGGGCGTAGTGGTGCACACCTGTAATCCTGGCTTCTTGGGAGGCTGAGGCAGGAGAATGGCTTCAACCTGGGAGGCGGAGGTTACAGTGAGCCGAGATCACGCCATTGCACTCCAGCCTGGGCAACAAGAAGGAAACTCTGTCAAAAAGAAAATAAAGTGTGCCGTTATTAGAATCATTTTGGCTAAGGGGTGTTGGTTTGAATGGTGGTATTGCTAAGGAGACTGATGCTAAAGGCACTCTTAGTAAGTGCAACTGTCGCTGAGGTTGATGTTCCAAAAGGCACTGATGTTAAGGACATTGTTGCTAAGCCTGTTTTTTAAAGTGTGCTGCTGTTATGGGTATTGTTGCTAAGGGTGTTGTAAGAGAAATCATTGCTGAGTACCACTGCTGCTGAGAGCATTGCCACTAAGATCTAATATTGCCAAGGACAGTGTTGCTAAGGCCGTTGAACTTAAATGCATTTTAGTAAAGGCATTGTTCCTAAGGCTATTGTTAGGGGCTGTTGCGAAGGAACTGTGTTAAAGATATTATTGTTATGGTCGTTAAATCTAAGAGTTTTGATGTTAAGGGCCCTGATGCTAAAAACACGTTTAGATAATTTTTACTACAACTCATTATGGCTAAGAATGTTGATGTTAGGTACATTATTGCAAGGCACTTTAGTAAAGTGTCTTGTTGCTAAATGATTATTGCTAAAGGCACTGTTGCTAAGGGGACTGTTTCTTAGTGAATCCATAAGAGCTTTGTTGCTAAGGGCCATTTTTGCTAAGAACATTGTTTCTAAGGGTGTTGAAGTTAAACACGTTATTACTGAAAGCACTGTGGTAAAGGCATCTTACCTAAGGGTTTACTGCTAATAGCACTGTTACTCAAGGAACTGAGGCTAAGGGCATTGTTGCTGAGGGGGTTGTTATTAAGGGCATTTGTTATGAAAGGTCATTGTGTCTAAGTACAATTGCTTCTAAGGACATTGTTTGAAGGGCATTATTTCAAGGGTCATTGTTGCTAAGAGCATTAATGTCACCGACAGTGTTGTTCCTAAGGGAATGTTAGTAAGAGCATTGTTTCTAAGAGTATTGTTACAAAAGGACTCTTGCTAAGGACATTGTTGCAAATACATTTTGGTAAAGGCATTGTTCCTAAAGGGATTCTGGCTAAGGACACTGTTACAAGGGGCATCTTTTATAAGGGCATTGTTGCTAAAGTTGATTTTACTAAAGGCCATTTTAGCTAAAGGCACTGTTGCTAAGTACACTGTTGTCAAGGATGTTGTTGCTAAGGGTGCTGTTGTTAAGAGCATTATGTTCTAAAGGATCCGTTGCCAAGGGAATTGATGATAATTGCGTTGTTTCTTTTTTCTTTTCTTTTCTTTTCTTTTCTTTTCTTTTCTTTTCTTTTCTTTTCTTTTCTTTTCTTTTCTTTTCTTTTTTTTTTTAGATGGATTCTCCCTCTGTTGCCCAGGCTGGAGTGTGGTGGCATGATCTCAGCTCACTGCAACCTCTGCCTCCCAGGTTCAAGTGATTCTCCTGCCTCAGCCTCCCGAGTAGCTGGGATTACAGGCGTGCACCACCATGCCCAGCTAATTCTTGTATTTTTGGTAGAGATGGGGTTTCATCATGTTGGCCAGGCTGGTCTCAAACTCCTGACCTCAAGTGATCCACCCACCTCAGCCTCCCAATGTGCTTGGGATTACAGGCATGAGCCACCTTGCCCGGCCTGTAGTTGCATTGTTTCTAAGGGCCTTTGTTAAGGCACTATGCTAATGTTTTTGCTAAAAGTCATTGTTACAAAAGCTGTGGTTACTAATGATGTTGCTGCCATGGAACACGTGCCTAAGGGCGATATTTCAATTGGCATCGATAGTAAGGTCACTGTTGCTAAGGAAGTTATTTCTAAGTGCATTGTTCCTGGAGCCATTGTAGTTATGGGTGATGTTCATAAGAGAACTGTTGAAGGTCATTGTGGCTAAAGGCATTATTACTATTGCTAGTGTTTCTCATGATGCTGTTTCTACCAGCACTGATCCTAAATCTCGTGTTGCTAAGAGTATTGTTACTGAGGGTATTACTGCTAAGTATATTGTTGCTTAGGGTACTATTGCTTAGAATGTTTTTGTATATTATTGTTAAGGACACTGTTTCTAAGATCATTGTTCCTAGGGTGTTAATGTTGGCAAGGGACATTTTTGCTGAAGGCATTGTGACTAAAGGCATTGTTGTTACAGGTATTTTCTTCAAAGGGCATTGTTGGGAAGGGGACATTTCTAGAGTCACTCTTGCTAAAGACTGTTGCTAAGACCATTTTACTAAGGTCAATGCTAACAGCATTATTACCAAGGCTTTATTTTTATGGCTCACTGTTGGTTGCTAAAGTCATTGCTTCTAAGGGCCAAGAGGGCTGTTGTCAAGAATGCTGGTCTTAGGGGATTTTTGCTAATAGTAATATTGTTAGGACATTGTTGCAAAGAGTGTGGTTGCTAAGGGCCATTGTTTATAAGGTAAACAATGGTAAACTCTTGGTAAGGCAAGTTTGGATAAGAGCACTGTTGCTAAGGGCACTGGTTATAGGGGTGATGCGCATGATTTTTTTACTAAGGACATTATTAAGAATGTCATTTCTAAGGTCAGTTGTTTACCCCTTTCTTGCTAATGGTACTGATGTTAAGAGTGTTGGTTCTATGAGTATTACCATTCAGAGCATTTCTCCAGGAGCCATTGTTGCTAAGTTCATTGATATTATGTATTTTGTAGCTAGGGCATTGCTGTAAAGTGTGCTGTTGCCAACAACACTGTTGCTGATGTCATTATTGCTAAGGAGTTGATACTAAAAGCATTTTTACTAAGGTGCCATTGGTAAGAGTGCTGTTGTTAATGCCACTATAAAGGACATTTTTGTAAGGGCATTGTTGCTAATTGCTTTATTTCTAATTTTGTTATTGCTAAGGGCCATGGTTTTTGAAGGTATTATTTCTAAGGGTGTTTTTGCTAAGATACACTAACAGGCCATGGTTTGACCATTTCCAAAGTACCATGGCAATTTATAGAGGTAAATGGACATACCATTGTTCCTAAGGGCATTGTTGCTATGGACATTGATTTTAAAGACATTGTTGCCAATGGCATTGTTGCAATTGGCATAATTCCCACTATTTCTACAGGCAATTATGCTAAGGCTGTTGTTGCTTAGAGATTTGTCAGTAAGGTGCACCATTGCTAATGATGTTGCTGCTAAGGACATTGTTGTTAGGGGCCATTGTTGTTATGTTATGAGTGTTGTCTCTAGGGTCATTGTTCCTAAGGGCCATTTTTGTTAAGGGTCTTGATGCTAAAGGCCATTTTTTTAAAGGACATTTTGGTAAAGGTATTCATTTCAAGCTATTTGTTGCTAAGGTCATTGTTGTTTGGGGTGGTTGTTAAGGTCCATGATTGCTAATGTAAGATATTGCTTCTAGGAGTGTTAATGTCAGTCAAAGGTGTTGCTAAGAGCAACTGTGGCAAATAGTGTTATAGCTGAGGGCATTTTTCTAATGTTACTGTTGCTTAGATTATGTTGCCAAGAGTCTTTTGGCTAAAAAGGTTAATATTAACAATGTTGTCTTAAAGCATTATTCCTGATGGTGTCTATGCTAAGGGTATTGTTGCTATGGGATTTGTTGCTAAGGGCCATTATTAACAAGTCATTGTTGTGATAGGCATATTTTTAAAAGTGTTGGTGCTAAGGGCAATTGTTCTTAAGGATGTTTTTGCCAAGGGCATTAGTGGTAAAAAATTGTTGCGAAAGCCATTTTTTTCTAAGTGGGTTGGTCCTAATGTATCCCACACCATGAAATCACTACCTCACTACTCTTCACCTCTCCCACTCCATACACCATATTTCCTTGTATCAGACACCTGCTGACATCACCAGTATAGGATCTTATTAGAACAAATGGGGCAAGTAGAGCAAAGTGGGCATCTCTCAGGGAACAAGAGTGTCCAGTGCAAAGTATCAGCCCATTCCAACCTTAGGACAGGTGCCAGGCTGATTAGGGGCCTCAGGTTTGAGCTAGTGACCCTGACCCTTTAAGCTCTGAGAACTTAAAGCTGGCTGAGCTCCAACCCTAAATGTTTTGTCCTATGAGTCATTATCTGTGAGCTATTTTTAAAAATATTTTGGACTTCATCTATGTTTTTCCCCTAATGTGTTTCAATTTTGTGGGGACTCTAGTGGAAACAGAGGAAGTCATTGATTGTTCTTAAATCTTAAATGCATCTTTCCAACCTGTCAATGCACATAACTTAATCAGGTCTATGTTCATGCATAAGATAGTTCCATACATGAAGCATCTCACACTTCAATATGCTCTCTATATACAATATTTTTCCACTTAAAATATCCACTAGGTTGAGTGAGGACATCGATAGCCAGATTTTCACATATATTTGAAAAAAAGAGAGGTAAGAAAACTCAAAAATATCTGTAAAAGAAACAAACACATTTGGAGCACGTGCCTTACTACCAATCAAGGTTTTAGAAAGCCAGACTCATCAAGACAGTGGTATAGGCACAGTGAGAGGCAAAGTAGCTCACAGGAAAAGACCAGAGGCCCATAATCATACTTAGCATTTATATCCACATGGTGTCTTACAGAGGAGACACACACATCAGTGAGGAGAGAAAATGTAATTTAGGATTAGCATACTTGGTGATTAACTGGTTTAAAAAAATGTGTAATTGTTAAGTTAAAAATATAAATAACAAATTTTTCAATAGCAAACTCAAATGCTATGAACTTAGGGGTAAATTTCACCAAAGATAAAAAGTATTTTATAGTCCCCTCACTATTGTAAGAAATTTAACCTACCCTGGGAGATGAATACTATGGTTTCACCATTTTAAAGGTGAACTTATTCATAAGAGAAAAAAAATAAAAGCAAATAAATGGAGATTTATACTGCAAATATCAATAGGAAAAGTCAAAATCATAAAAAATATCAATTCCACCCAAATTGTCAATGTTAATTCCAGCCAAAACCTCAACCAGATTTCCTAATGTCCTTCATAAGCTGATGCAAAATTAATATGAAAAAATAAACCTCACACCAAAGAAAACCAAAGACACTCTCATGCAGTAATAACATAAGAGAAATTATCTACTGGACCTTACAATTTATGATGAAAATAAATTAATTAAGATAGCTTTGTATTGGAAAAAATAGAGACAAGCCAATGAAACTGAAGAAACAAAATGGAAACAGATACCTATGAGAAAGTGGAAACAGCAGGGCAATTTAGAAAGATGACTATTTTAAAAGCTGTCATGGCCGGGCGCTGTGGCTCACGCCTGTAATCCCAGCACTTTGAGAGGTGGAGGCGGGCAGATCACTCGGGCGGATCACTTGAGGTCAGGAATTCAAGACCAGCCTGACCAACATGGTGAAACCCCCTCTCTACTAAAAATACAAAAAACTAGCCTGGCGTGGTGGTGGGCGCCTGTAATCCCAGCTACTTGGGAGGCAGAGGCAGGAGAATCGCTTGAACCCGGGAGGCGGAGGTTGCAGTGAGCCAAGATCACACCATTGCACTCCAGCCTGGGTGTCAGAGCGAGACTCCATCTCAAAATAAATAAATAAATAAATAAATAAATAAATAAATAAAATAAAATAAAAGCAGTTAAACCATTCAGATATCCATATTGAAACATTGTGGATCCGTACTTACGCCTTACACTAAATTCATCCCAGTGGGATTAAAAACTTAAATTTGAAACAAAATATGTGAGTCATTTAGTAAAAAGAATAAGAGAATTTTCTTATGAATACTGTCTGAAACAAAACCACAATAGGAAAAGATAATTTAACTCTTCCACATTGAAAAGAAAAAAATCTCTCTTTTTTTTTTTTTGAATGGAGTCTTGCTCTGTCACCCAGGCTGGACTGCAGTGGCGCAATCTCGGTTCACTGCAAGCCCAGACCCCGGGTTCACGCCATTCTCCTGCCTCAGCCTCTTGAGTAGCTGGTACTACAGGTGCCTGCCACCACGCCCGGCTAATTTTTTGTATTTTTATTAGAGAGGGGGTTTCACCGTGTTAGCCACGATGGTCTCGATCTCCTGACCTAGTGATCCGCCCGCCTTGGCCTTCCAAAATGCTGGGATTACAGGCGTGAGCCACCGCGGCCGGCCAGAAAGAAAAAAACATCTTAAAGAAAACCTAACAAAGTGACAACCAATCTTCAGACTGGTAGAAAGTATTTGCAATGTACAGATGCCACAAAAAATACCCAGAAAATATAAGGAATTTCTAGTATCAGGAGTATATTTTATTGATTGCCTTGAATGCTCAATAAGATCAAGAAACATGGAAATTTATAAAACTAAATGAAAATTCATTCTATATTCTTGAATACTATAATTCACTGAATTATGTATATAGTAATATGTAAGATAATATATAACTCATGATTTTAAGCTTTTCCATTTTCTTTTCTTTTTTTTTAAGACGGAGTCTCACTCTGTCGCCCAGGCTGGAGTGCTGTGGCACGATCTCGGCTCACTGCAAGCTCCGCCTCCCGGGTTCACGCCATTCTCCTGCCTCAGCCTCCCCAGTAGCTGGGACTACAGGCACCAGCCACCGCGCCCAGCTAATTTTTTTTATTTTTAGTAGAGACGGGGTTTCACCATATTAGCCAGGATGGTCTGGATCTCCTGACCTCGTGATCCGCCTGCCTTTGTCTCCCAAAGTGCTGGGATTACAGGCGTGAGCCACTGCACCCAGCCTCCATTTTCAAATTGATAGATATATTCAGTGCATTTCCCCTAAAAATTTTCACTGTGTTTTTTGAGTATTTAAACAACTATTAATAATTCTTAACTTCGTACAAAAAAAGTCAAAGGCCGAAGAATTGAAAACAAATCTGTAGAATAAAAATAATAATAATAAGATGTAAGGAACTGCCGTACACCAATCAAAATCCATAATGTTAGCCTTCAAGACAGCATGGGGCAAATCTCCTGATAGATGAAATAGCCCAAAGGAAAAAAAATAGAAGTCCAGTAAATGACTCAGAATTGAGTCGATAGACATTTATGGCAGATGGAGCACTGTACATCAGTGGGGAGACATAAATACATAGGACTGGGGCACTTGCTCTTCCAAATTCTTCATGACTCCCTCTTCATTGAGCCCTGAGGGAAATGGAGAGAGAGAAAAGTAAGTCGGGGACAGGTGAGACCATTCACTCCCAGATGCACCTCTATTTCCACATCTTCAACTTAGCCTCGTTAAGTGATTTTGTAAACAAGCTGAGAATACCAGATGGCTATGGTTCGCTTTGTTTGTGTATCTCCCCAATGCCAATGTGACTGCTTCAATAGACTATGTCACAGATATGTTGCTTGTAATATTTGACATGATGTGAATTTTTATTCAAGTTAAGCAACAGCCATGAGAGACAAGCACAGAGAGCCTATCCATGTGTTTCTGACAAAGGTTCCTTTTTTATTGTTTTATGTTTATCAAGAGATTTCTTTTGACACATGTACTTTTTAAAATTTTTTATTTTGAAATAATTGTAGATTCACATGAAGTTGCAAAAAGAAAAAAAGGTACGCAAAGGTCCCTTATACATTTCACCAAGCGTAGGATTATTGTTGAGAATATGATAAATCGCACATTCAGCCTACATAGATAAATGTTCTGTGGTTCTACTAGATATATGGTTCTACATAGATAAATGTTCCCAGGTCTCTGGGGCTCTCTCTTACAGAGAGGCTAAGCATGCTTTCTAACACAATATGCTAGACATAGCTGCAGTATTAGTCATTCAATTATTAAACTTAATAAAACTTCAAAAAATATTGTATGGCATATGTGTGTATGTCTGTGTGTGTATACACACAGACACACACACACACAAATGCAAAAGACTAATACTCTATTGTACCAAATTATGTTTAAAGAATTCAAGAGAAGCAACCCCTGTGTAGACAACAGATGCCCAGATTGTTCGTATGTTTCAAGGATATGTGAAGGAGTTTGACGACTGCTTTCTCATTTGGAGAGAAATTAAGCTGACTCTTGCAGTGACTTATTCTACATTAGTTGGTAGATTTCGGTGATTCAATTGCCTCTTCTGACAATTTTCTTTCTCAGAGAACCCCAATAATCATTTCTCATGTGCTTAACCATCCCCAGGATCTTCCTATATAAAAGCCATTCTCTATCAAATCTTTATACTTAAGGAAAGTTTGAGTACAGAGTACAGTCCAGTGGGGCCAGTGTTTTCCAGCCAGGTCCTATGGCCAAAACTTTCTACAATGGCATCTTAAATGCAATTAGCAGAAGGCTGATACCTCCAGAAGTAACAACCAAGTTGCTCACTTAGAGTTTCAGGAAGTCAGAGTTCATTTGTGGGCAAAGGATGCAGGTTACAGATATTGCTCTTATAGGTTAAGAAAAGGAAAGAAAACCCAGCAAAGTCAACCATCTTTCTGGAAATGTTGAAAAAATGTGAAAAAATTCCATTTTTTTTTTTGAGACGGAGTCTTGCTCTGTTGTATTTTTTTAGTAGAGACGGCATTTCACCATGTTGACCAGAATGGTCTCGATCTCTTGACCTTGTGATCTGGTTGCCTCAGCCTCCCAAAGTTCTGGGATTACAGGCGTGAGCCACCATGCCGGGCTGAAAATTCCATTAAATTTTAACTGTAGAGCTTCTTGCTCACCCCTAGGAGTTAGAAACTTGAGAAGGCAAGCTCATCCAGAGTTGGACAAGTCCCAGCTTTAAATAGAGTCTCAGGGAATGAGGTCAAGTCTTTGCTGGGGGTCTTGTAGATGATACACATGCAGGTCACTATTCTGAGTGGAGAGTTTTCTAGCACCTAGTGTTTGTGACACTCTTGTTGGAAACAAGTTGGAAAAAAGAGATCTCTGTAAAATTTGAGGGAGCTAAGTCTAAATCTGACTCATAAACCCATCAGAAGCAGCTACCTTGTGAATTTAAACAGCTCTGGGAGAAATTGTGTGAATGGAAAAATAATTCCAAGTTGTTGAGTCTAAGATCACTGTCTTGAGTCCTGGGTTAGATATAGACATACAAGGTAAATGATGTAGAAAGAGAAACTCTAAGCTGGTCATGGTGGTTCACGCCTGTAATCCCAGCACTTTGGGAGGCCAAGGCGGGTGGATCACCTGATCGTCAGGAGTTCAAGACCAGCCTGACCAATATGGTGAAACCCCGTCTCTATTAAAATTACAAAAATTAGCTGGGCGTGGTGGCGGCCACTTGTAGTCCCAGCTACTCAGGAGGCTGAGGCAGGAGAATCGCTTGAACCCGGGAGGCGAAGGTTGCAGCGAGCCGAGATCATGCCACTGCACTCCAGCCCGGGCAACAGAGCAAGACTCCGTCTAAAAAAAAAAAAAAAGAAAGAAAAGAAAAAGAAAAAGCAACTCTAAACTCTTAATATCTGAGTTAGCTCAATTCTTCAAGGTTCAGGAAGATTTAAAGAATCACTTTTACTTTAAGGGTTAAAATAAAAAGATTCCTGAAGAGTTTTGTCATAATCCCATTAGTTACCTGCATAGTTTCCTAGCTTAAGACCTGGGGGAAAAATTGACTCAAATCTAAACTATCTTTAGATTCGGAGCATTAAAGAAGCTGCATCCTGGAAGAAACATTCCAGACACAGTTGGACAAATAATTCAATAGCTGTCTACAAGGCTGTCTATACATTTTAGGGAATCCTTCAGTGCTTAAGAGACAAATCTCACTTATTCCTCAGTCCCTTAACAGCTTTAAGAAGAATTCTCAATTTCCCCGTGCCTGCAATGGCTCTGTGTGGTAGCACAGGTAATGCCTAGGAGGAGAAGCTTGGAAAATTGTAAGACCTGGGGGTTATAAGCTTCATAATTTGTTCAGACATCCCATGATATTTTCCTGCTGCTCCAATCAAGGTTAGTGTTCAGGGTCGGACTGCAGGATCATTTCTGAGATCAAAAGGCAAAGCAAGGGAAGGGCAATGCAGTTGCAATTTGTGCAAGAAGTTAAAAAGAGAAATTTATTCTCAAGCAAAATGATTTTTCATTTATTCATTTTTACTGAGTTTAAACAGATGTTTGGGCAAGTTTAGCTACCACAGCTGTGATTGTCACACCCCTCTGTCTCTGTCTGAGGCCCTGGAAAAGAAAGTAACAGAGTGGGTTTAACATGTATTGCCAATTTCTCATTCCTAAGAGAAGTGAGGTATAATTGGCATACAATTAACTGCACATATTTAAGGTGTACAGTGTGATAGTATTTGACACGTGTAAAACACAGGAAACTATCATTAAAAGTCAAGAATTAATATCTGTCACCCCAAAATGTTCCTGTTGCCCTTTGGCAAGCCTTCTCTTCCACTCCTCTCTATCAAACCAGGGTAGAAGGGTCTTACATGTTTTGTTGCTCAAATTTATCCCTAAGTATTTGATATTTTGCTGCTATTGTAAATCTCCTGGCTATTTTTTTTTTTTTGTACTTTTAGTAGAGATGGGGTTTCACCGTGTTAGCCAGGATGGTCTCCATCTCCTGACCTCGTGATCTGTCCGCCTTGGCCTCCCAAAGTGCTGGGATTACAGGTATGAGCCACCGTGTATGGCCTATAAATCATAATTTTAAAATACAATTTCTGATTGTTCATTGCTAGTATAAGGAAGAAACTTTGTATAGTCGTATTCTATCCTTCAACTTTGCTTAACTAATTTGTTAGTACTAGTAGCTTTATCAGCTTATTAGTTAATAATAATTAGTAGCATATTAATTTCTGATAGTTTTTGTGTAGATTCCACAAAACTTCCTGTCATGTTACCTGAGAAACAGAAACAATTTTACTTTTTTTCCAATTCACCTGTGTGTTTTTCTCTTTTCTTTTGGCTTTATTGCCTCAATTACAATGTTGAATAGAAGTGGTAAGAGCTGACATTCTCATCTCATTCCTGATCTCAGGAGGAAAGCATTCAGTCTTTCAACATTAAGCGTGACATTACCTGTAGGTTTTTTGTAAATTACCTTAATCAGGTTGAAGAAGTTTCCTGCTAGTGCCAGTTTGCTGAGAGTTATTTTCTTCTGATTATACTGAGATAAGATCTTTTCTTTTTTAATTTCTCAATTTGGTGAACTACAGTGCTTGATTTTTAAAATTTTTATTTTATTGTGGTAAGAATATAACATGAGATCTACTCTCTTATGAGATTTTTCAGTATACAATAAAATATTGTTAACTATAGGCACAGTATTATACAGCAGATCTCTAAAGCTAATTCATCTTGCATTAATGAAATTTTATACCCATTGATAAGCAACTCCTCACTTCCCTTTCACTCCCGTCCTGGCAACCACCATTCCACTCTTTGATTCTATGAATTGTACTGTTAATATTTTCACTATCTAAGATAAGCAAATTATACGGGATTTGTCTTTCTGTGATTGGCTTATTTCACTTGGAATAATATCCTCAAGGTTTATTCATGTTGTACATATTGCAGAATTTCTTTTTTAATGCTGAATAGTATTTCCATTGTATGTCTATACCACATTTGCTTTATGAATTTATCTGTTAATGGACATTAATGTTGTTTCTACATCTGAGCTATTACGAATAGTGTTGCAATGAACATAGGAATGGTAATATTACTTCAAGATCCTGATTTCAATTCTTTTGGATAAATACCCAGAAGTGGGATTATTGGAGCAATATAATGGCTCTGTTTTTAACTTTTTGAAGAACGTTCATACTTTTTTCCCATAGTAAATGCACTATCGTGTATTCCCACAAACAATGTACAAGGGTTCCCTTTCTCCACATCCCTTCCAACACTTGTCTTTTTTTTAAATAATCATCATCCTGACAGGTGTGAGGAAATATTTCATTGTGGTTTTGATTTACATTTTTCTGATGATTAGTAACACTGAGCATCTTTTCATATACCTGTGGGTATTTCTCTTCTTTGGAAAAATGTCTATTCAAGTCCTTTGCTCATTTAAAAAATCAGATTGTTAGTTTTATCTACTGAGTTGTTTGAGTTCCTAACGTATTTTGGAAATTAATCTTTTTCCCAGTGTTTTCTTATAGAAGCTTTACAGTCTCACCTTGCATTTAAGTTTTTAATCCATTTTGATTTAATTTTTGTGCATGGTATAAGACAAGGATCCAGTTCTACTCTTGCATGGAGATATCCAGTTTTCCCAGCAGCATTTGTTGAAGAGACTGTCCTTTCCTGATTGTGCATTCTTGGCACCCATGTCAAAGATCAATTGACTGTATATACACAGATCTATTTCTTGGCTCCCTATTCTAACCCATTGGTCTTATATGTCTATCTTTATGCTGTTAACATACTATTTTAATTACTATAGCTTTGCAATATATTTTGAAATTAGGAAGTGATGCCTCTAGCCTTGCTCTTTCTTCTCAAGATTGTTTTGGCTATTCAGGGTACTTTCCAATTATATATGAATCTTAGAATTGTTTTTTCTCTGTCTGTAAAAATGCTATTAGGATTTTTATGGAGATTGAATTGAATTTGTAGATTGCTTTGAGTAGTGTAGATATTAAGACTTCCAATCTATGAACACAGTATGTCTTTCCATTTACTTGTGTCCTTTTAAATTTCTTAAATTAATGTTTTGCAGTTTGCAGTGTGTCTTTTACCTCCTTGGCTAAGTTTATTCCTAAGTATTTGATTATTTTTGATAGTGTTGTAAATGGGATTGGTTTCCTAATTTTCTTTCAGAGAGTTTATTTTTGGTGTATAGAAATGCAATTGATTTTTACATATTGTTTTTTATCATACTACTTTGCTGAATTGACTTATTAATTCTAACAGTTTTTTATGGAGTCTTTAGAGTTTTCTGTATATTAGATCATGTTTAAACAGGTACAATTTCACTTCTTCCTTCTGAACTTGATGTATTTTTTGTATTGATCTTGAATAATCATTCTGGGCAGGACTTTCATTACTATGTTGAATAGAAGTGGTAAAAGTGAACATCCCTGTCTTTTTCCTGATATTAGAGGAAAAGCTTTTAGTTTTTTACTTCTGAGTGTGGTGTTAGCTGTGGGATTTTCATATCTGGCCTCAATATGTTGAGGTAACTTCCATCTCTTCCTAGTTTGTTGAGAGTTTCTAACATGAAAAAGTGTCAAATTTTATCAAATTATTATTTTTAAATCTATTGAGATGATTTTGTGATTTTTATCTTTTATTCTATTAACCGTATCACATTAATTGATTTTCAT
Organism: Homo sapiens; assembly: GCF_000001405.40. NCBI lineage: Eukaryota > Metazoa > Chordata > Mammalia > Primates > Hominidae > Homo > Homo sapiens. Next base: position 39,422,195 of record NC_000009.12, read on the forward strand.
ATGTTGAACCATCCCTGCAACTCAGGGATAAATCCCACTTGGTCATGGTGTATGATCCTATTAATTTGCTGTTAAATTTGGTTTGCAATTATTTTGTTGAGGATCCTTGCATCTATATTAATCAGGGACATAGACCTGTAGTTTTCTTTTTGTAGTGTCTTTTATCTGTCTTTAAATTCACATAATGCTGGCCTCGTGAAATGAGTTTGGAAATATTCTCTCCTTTTTGATTTTTTGGGAAGAGTTTTAAAATGATTGGTATTAATTCTTCTTTAAATATTTGGTAGACTTCAGCAGCAGAGTCATCAGGTCAGAGGCTTTGCTTTGTTGGGAGTTTTTTTTATTACTGATTCGATCTCCTTATTCACTGTTTGCCTGTTTAAATTTCCTATTTCTTTCATGATGCACTCTTGGTAGGTTGTATGTTTCTAGGAATTTATCCATTTCTTCTAGGTTATCGAGTTTATTGGTGTATTTTTTCTCACAGCAGTTTCTTATGATCTTTGGATTTCTGTGACGTCAGTTGCAATGTCTTTTTCATTTGTTTTTGTCTTCCTTCTTCTTAGTACACTGTTTGATTTTTAAATGTTAAAACAATTTCACATTCTTAGGATAAGCCCCCTTGGTCCTTGTGTGTTATTCTGTTTACATAATGCTGTAATTTATTTGCTAAAATTGCATTTTTTCAACTAATGTCATGAGAGATATTGTCTCTAGTTTACTTTTCTTGTAATGTCTTTGACATTTATATCAGGGTAATGCTAATTTCATAGAATGAGGTAGGAAATAATTACCTTCTCAAAAATTTTCTATGAAGAGTTCATGTAAAATTAGTATTACTTCTTAAATATTTGATATAATTCACTAGTGAAGCCACCTGGGCCTGGCATTTTCTTTATGTGAAGGTTTTGTAACTACAAATTGTATTTCTCTAACAGATGTAGGGCTATTCAGATTATGTATTTCTTCTTGAGTGAGATATGGTAGTTTGTGTATTTCAAGGAGTTCATCTATTTTATGACAATTGTGGAAATCATTGACATGAAGTTATATATAATATTTTGTTATGATTCTTTTAACATCTAAAACCTAAAATCATGTCACCTTTCTCATTCCTGCTACTGGCATTTTTTTCTTCTAATGCCTGATTAATCTGGCTAGATTTATCAGCTTTCTGTTGATTTCTGTTAACATGGTATGTATTTTTTAACCTATTTGTTTCTTTATATATAAAGTGTATTTCTTGTAAGCAGCATAGAATCGGGTCTTCCTAAAAAATTTATATGACAATTCCTGACTTTTAATTGAGGTGTTTAAACCATTTACATTTAATATGATTATTTATATAGTTAGGTTTGAGTCGATAATTTTGATTTTTGTTCTTTTTTCTTCTTTTCTTCCATTTGGATCAAACATTTTTATTACATTTCATCTTCCTTTCTGGTTCATTAACTATGTAAATCAAAAGTAAAATTCTAAGCCCATCAACCAATTGAATGGACCCCTCTTCTCAAACAAGGGCATTCCTAAGTTAACCTGGAAAATCAGTTCAGGCCATGATGGGTAGTAGAGGTCAGACATGCCACACTATACTCACGTTCCTTTGGAATTCAGGCACAGCTGACCAGCATTTAACATTAAAACAGAGACCTTACGACTGATGAAACAGACTCTTGGTAGCCATTAAGATACCAACATGACAGACAGCAAGCCCTAAAAGAAATAAAAATATTTTACCTCAAAAGATATTTCTTTTCTCTCCTTCTTCTTCTTTTTCTTTGAGATGGAGTCTCCCTCTGTTGCCCAGGCTGGAGTGCAGTGGCATGATCTTGGCTCAGTCACCACAACCTCCGTCTCCCAGGTTCAAGCAATTCTCCTGCCTTAGCCTCTTGAATAGCTGGGATTACAGGTGCCCACCACCATTCCTGGCTTATTTTTTTGTATTTTTTGTAGAGACGTGGTTTTGCCATGTTGGCCAGGTTGGTCTCAAACTCCTGACCTCAAGTGATCTACCTGCTTCAGCCTCCCAAAGTGCTAGGATTATAGGCATGAGCTAACGTGCCTGGCTATATTTCTTAAACATATTTTGAAATGGCCCTGCAAAGCTGTCTCTTGTGGGAAAATCTACCTTCTATAGAAAATCTCCTTTTATTTCCAGGTCTTCTTCCTGATCCGGGAGAGAATTAACTGAGTTTGGTACCTTTTTAAGTCTGATAAAAAACATTTACAATCTGTTCTTTCTGAAGCCTGCTACCTGGAGGCTTTATCTGCATAATAAAAACCTTGGTCTCCACAACCCCTTATTTTAACCCTTCTATTAATTCCAGGGCTTTAGATAAAAGCTTTCAACCAATTGCCAATCAGGAAATCTTTTAATCCACTTATGACTTGCAGGCCACAACCCCCCCACTGCCCCTTCCTCCCCCTTCACATTGCTCCATGTGATGGTTAATATTGAGTGTCAACTTGATTGGAATGAAGGGTGCAAAGTGTTGTTCCTGGATGTATCTGTGAGGATGTTGCCAAAGAAGACTGACATTTGAATCAGTGGACTAGAAGAGGCAGACCCACCCTCAATCTGGGTGGGCACCATCTAATCAGCTGCCAGCACAGCTAAAATAAAGCAGGCAGGAGAATGTGGAAGGACTAGACTGGCTGAGTGTTCTGGCCTTCATCTTTCTCCCATGCTGTATGCTTCCTGGCTTTGAACACTGGACTCCAAGTTCTTCGGCTTTTGGACTTTTGGACTTACACCAGTGGTTTGCCAGGGGCTCTTGGGCCTTCAGCCACAGACTGAAGGCTGCACTGTCGGCTTCCCTATTTTTGAGATTTGGGAACTCAGACTGGCTTCCTTGCTCCTCAGCTTGCAGATGGCCTATTTTGGGACTTCACCTTGTGACAGTATATACTCCTTAATAAACTCCCTTTCACATATAAATTTATCCTATTAGTCCTGTCCCACTAGAGAACCCTAATACACCCCACCTTTCCAGACCTAACCAGTGTATGTCTTACATGTACTGATTCATGTCTTATACCTCCATAAAACATGGAAATTCAAGCTGTAGCCAGACCACCTTGGGCAAATGTTCTCAGGACCTCCTAAGGCTATGTCATGGGTATGTCCTTAACCTTGGCTAAATAAACTTCTGAATTGATTGAGACTTGTCTCTGGTATTTTTTGGCTTAAAATTATAATTCTTTATTTTGCTAATTTTGTGTTTGCTGTGGGGTAATAGTATATGTCTTAAACTTATCACAATCTAGCTTCAAGTGAATTATACCATTTCACATATACTATTCAAACCTTACAATAGTATACTTGCATTTCTCCCCTCTCAGTCTTTATGCTTTTTTGTCATATACTTTATTTGTATATACATATGTTGCAATAACAACACATTGTTATCATTCAGTTTAACCAATTATCTTTAAAAGAAATTTACATGAGGGGAGGTTCCAAGATGGCCAAATAGGAAGAGCTCCAGTCTACAGCTCCCAGCGTGAGTGACGCAGAAGATGAGTGATTTCTGCATTTCCATCTGAGGTACCAGGTTCATCTCACTGGGGCTTGTTGGCAGTGGGTGCAGCCCATGGAGCATGAGCCAAAGCAGGGCGGGTCATTGCCTCATCCGGGAAGCAGAAGGGGCCGGGGAATTCCCTTTCCTAGCCAAGGGTAGCCCTGACAGACAGTACCTGGAAAATCAGGACACTCCAACCCTAATACTGTGCTTTTCCAATGGCCTTAGCAAATGGCACAGCAGGAGATTATATCCTGTGCCTGGCTTGGAGGGTCCCATGCCCACGGAGCCTTGCTCGCTGCTAGCACAGCAGTGTGAGATCAAACTGCAAGGTGGCAGCAAGGCTGGGGGAGGGGTGTCTGCCATTGCTGAGGCTTGAGTACATAAACAAAGTGGCCAGGAAGCTCGAACTGGGTGGAGCCCACCACAGATCAAGGAGGCCTGCCTGCCTCTGTAGACTGCACCTCTAGGGGCAGAGCATAGCTGAACAAAAGGCAGCAGAAACTTCTGCAGACTTAAATGTCCCTGTCCGACAGCTTTGAAGAGAGTAGTGGTTCTCCCAGTATGAAGCTGGAGATCTGAGAATGGACAGACTGCCTCCTCAAGTGGGTCCCTGACCCACGAGTAGCCTAACTGGGAGACACCTCCCAGTAGGGGCCGACTGACACCTCATACAGCCTAGTACTCCTCTGAGACGAAGCTTCCAGAGGAAGGATCAGGCAGCAACATTTGCCATTCTGCAATCGATTAGCAATAACAAACTTCTCCGAGCTAAAGGAGGATATTCAAACCCATCTGAAAGAAGCTAAAAACCTTGAAAAAAGATGAGATGAATGGCTAACTAGAATAAACAGCATAGAGAAGACCTTCAATGACCAGATGGAGCTGAAAACCATGACATGAGAACTATGTGATGCATGCACAAGCTTCAGTAGCTGACTCAATCAAGTGAAAGAAAGGGTATCAGTGATTGAAGATCAAATGAATGAAATGAAGTGAGAAGAGAAGTTTAGAGAAAAAAGAGTAAAAAGAAATGAACAAAGCCTCCAAATAATATGGGACTATGTGAAAAGACCAAATCTACATCTGATTGGTGTACCTGAAAGTGACGGGGAGAATGGAACCAAGTTGGAAAACACTCTGCAGGATATTATCCAGGAGAACTTCCCCAACCTAGCAAGGCAGGCCAATATGCAAATTCAGGAAATACAGAGAATGCCACAAAGATAGTCCTCGAGAAGAGCAACTCCAAGACACATAATTGTCAGATTCACCAAAGTTGAAATGAAGGAAAAAATGTGAAGGGCAACCAGAGAGAAAGGTCGGGTTATGCAAAAAGGGAAGCCCATCAGACTAACAGCGGATCTCTCAGCAGAAACTCTACAAGGCAGAAGAGAATGGGGGCCAATATTCAACATTCTTAAAGAAAAGAATTTTCAACCCAGAATTTCATGTCCAGCCAAACTAAGCTTCATAACTGAAGGAGAAATAAAATCCTTTACAGACAGACAAATGCTGAGAGATTTTGACACCACCAGGTATGCCTTACAAGAGCTCCTGAAAGAAGCACTAAACATGGAAAGGAACAACCGGTATCAGCCACTGCAAAAACATGCCAAATTGTAAAGACCATCGAGGCTAGGAAGAAACTGCATCAACTAATGAGCAAAATAACCAGCTAACATCATAATGACATGATCAAATTCACACATAACAATATTAACCTTAAATGTAAATGGGCTAAATGCTCCAATTAAAAGACACAGAGTGGCAAATTGGATAAAGAGTCAAGACCCATCAGTGTGCTGTATTCAGGAGACCCATCTCACGTGCAGAGACACACATAGGCTCAAAATAAAAGGATGGAGGAAGATCTACCAAGCAAATGGAAAACAAAAAAAAGCAGGGGTTGCAATCCTAGTCGCTGATAAAACAGATTTTAAATCAACAAAGATCAAAAGAGACAGAGAAGGCCATTACATAATGTAATGGGATCAATTCAACAAGAAGAACTAATTAACCCAAATATATATGCACCCAATACAGGAGCACCCAGATTCATAAAGCAAGTCCTTAGAGACCTACAAAGAGACTTAGACTCCCACACAATAATAATGGGACACTTTAACACCCCACTGTCAACAAGACAGAAAGTTAACAAGGATATCCAGGAATTGACAGAAACTTTCTGTCAACGAGACAGAAAGTTAATAAGGATATCCAGGAATTGAACTCAGCTCTGCACCAAGCAGACATAATAGACATCTACAGAACTCTCCACCCCAAATCAATAGAATATACATTCTTCTCAGCACCACATCACACTTATTACAAAATTGACCACATACTTGGAAGTGAAGCACTCCTCAGCAAATGTAAAAGAACAGAAGTTATAACAAACTGTCTCTCAGACCATAGTGCAATCAAACTAGAACTCAGGATTAAGAAACTCAGTCAAAACTGCTCAACTACATGGAAACTGAACAACCTGCTCCTGAATGACTACTGGGTACATAACAAAATGAAGGCAGAAATAAAGATGTTCTTTGAAACCAGTGAGAACAAAGATACAACATACCAGAATCTCTGGGACACATTTAAAGCAGTGTGTAGAGGGAAATTTATAGCACTAAGTGCCCACAAGAGAAAGCAGTAAAGATCTAAAATTGATACCCTAACACCACAATTAAAAAAACTAGAGAAGCAACAACAAACACATTCAAAAGCTAGCAGAAGGCAAGAAATAACTAAGATCAGAGCAGAACTGAAGGAAATAGAGACACAAAAAACCCTTCAAAAAATCAATGAATCCAAGAGCTGGTTTTTTGAAAAGATTAACAAAATAGACCACTAGCAAGACTAATAAGGAAGAAAAGAGAGAAGAATCCAATAGATGCAATAAAAAATGATAAAGGGGATATCACCACCGATCCCACAGAAATACAAACTACCATCAGAGAATACTATAAACACCTCTATGCAAATAAATTAGAAAATCTAGAAGAAATGGATAAATTCCTGGACACATACACCCTCCCAAGACTAAACCAGGAAGAAGTTGGATCCCTGAATAGACCAATAACAGGCTCTGAAATTGAGGCAATAATTAATAGCCTACCAACCAAAAAAAGTCCAGGACCAGATGGATTCACAGCCAAATTCTACCAGAGGTACAAAGAGGAGCTGGTACCATTCCTTCAGAAACTATTCTAATCAATAGAAAAAGAGGGAATCCTCTCTAACTCATTTTATGAGGCCAGCATCATCCTGACACCAAAGCCTCGCAGAGACGTAACAAAAAAAGAGAATTTTAGACCAATATCCCTGATGAACATCGATGCAAAAATCCTCAATAAAATACTGGCAAACCAAATCCAGCAGCACATCAAAAAGCTTATCCACCATGATTAAGTGGGCTTCAACCCTGGGATGCAAGGCTGGTTCAACATATACAAATCAATAAATTTAATTCATCATATAAACAGAACCAAAGACAAAAACCACATGATTATCTCAATAGATGCAGAAAAGGCCTTCGACAAAATTCAACAGCCCTTCATGCTAAAAACTCTCAGTAAACTAGGATTGATGGGATGTATCTCAAAATAATAAGAGCCATTTATGACAAACACACAGCCAATATCATACTGAATGGGCAAAAACTGGCACAAGACAGGGATGCCCTCTCTCACCATTCCTATTCAACATAGTGTTGGAAGTTCTGGCCAGGGCAATCAGGCAGGAGAAAGAAATAAATGGTATTCAATTAGGAAAAGAGGAAGTCCAGTTTTCTCTGTTTGCAGATGACATGATTGTATATTTAGAATACCCCATGGTCTCAGCCCAAAATCTCCTTAAGCTGATAAGCAACTTCAGCAAAGTCTCAGGATACAAAATCAATGTCCAAAAATCACAAGCATTCCTATACACCAATAACAGACAAACAGAGAACCAAATCATGAGTGAACTCCCATTCACAATTGCTTCAAAGAGAATAGAATACCTAGGAATCCAACTTACAAGAGATGTGAAGGACCTCTTCAAGGAGAACTACAAACCACTGTTCAACAAAATAAAAGAGGACACAAACAAATGGAAGAACATTCCATGCTCATGGGTAGGAATAATCAATATCGTGAAAATGGCCATAGTGCCCAAGGTAATTTATAGATTCAATGCCTTCCCCATCAAGCTACCAATGACTTTCTTCACAGAATTGGAAAAAACTACTTTAAAGTTCATATGGAACCAAAAAAGAGCCTGCATTGCCAAGACAATCCTAAGCCAAAAGAACAAAGCTGGAGGCATCACACCACCTGACTTCAAACTATACTACAAGGCAACGGTAACCAAAACAGCATGGTACTGGTACCAAAACAGAGATAGAGACCAATGGAACAGAGCAGAGCCCTCAGAAATAATACCACACATCTACAACAATCTGATCTTTGACAAATCTGACAAAAACAAGAAATGGGGAAAGGATTCCCTATTTAATAAATGGTACTGGGAAAACTGGCTAGCCATATGTAGAAAGCTGAAACTAGATCCCTTTCTTACACCTTATACAAAAATTAATTCAAGATGGATTAAAGACTTAAATGTTAGACCTAAAACCATAAAAACCCTAGAGGAAAACCTAGGCAATACCATTCAGGCCATAGACATGGGCAAGGACTTCATGACTAAAATACCAAAAGCAATGGCAACAAAAGCCAAAATTGACAAATGGGATCTAATTAAACTACAGAGCTTCTGCACAGCAAAAGAAACTACCATCAGAATGAACAGGCAACCTACAGAATGGGAGAAAATTTTTACAATCTACTCATCTGACAAAGGGCTAACATCCAGAATCTACAAAGAACTTAAACAAATTTACAAGAAAGAATCAAACAACCTCATCAAAAAGTGGGCAAAGGATATGAACAGACACTTCTCAAATAAGACTTTTATGCAGCCAACAGACACATGAAAAAATGCTCATCATCACTGGCCATCAGAGAAATGCAAATCAAAACCACAATGAGACACCATCTCACACCAGTTAGAATGGCAATCATTAAAAAGTCAGGACACAACAGGTGCTGGAAAGGATGTGGAGAAATAGGAACACTTTTACACTGTGGGTGGGACTGTAAACTAGTTCAACCATTGTGGAAGACAGTGTGGCGATTCCTCAAGGATCTAGAACTAGAAATACCATTTGACCCAGCCATCCCATTACTCGGTATATACCCAAAGGATTATAAATCATGCTGCTATGAAGACACATGCACACGTATGTTTATTGTGGCACTATTCACAATAGCAAAGACTTGGAACCAACCCAAATGTCCAAAAATGATAGACTGGATTAAGAAAATGTGGCACATACACACCATGGAATACTATGCAGCCATAAAAAAGGATCAGTTCATGTCCTTTGTAGGGACATGGATGCAGCTGGAAACCATCATTCTGAGCAAACTATCGCAAGGAAAGAAAACCAAACACCGCATGTTCTCACTCATAGGTGGGAGTTGAACAATGAGAACACTTGGACACAGGCCCCCATCACACACTGGGGCCTGTTGTGGGGTGGGGGGAGAGGGGAGGGATAGCATTAGGAGATATACCTAATGTAAATGACAAGTTAATGGGTGCAGCACACCAACATGGCACATGTATACATATGTGAAGAAACCTGCATGTTGTGCACGTGTACCCCAGAACTGAAACTATAATTTAAAAATAATAGTAATAATAAAAAAGAAATTTACATAATAAGAAACAAATATTTACTCATGTAGCTATAATTTCTGATGCTTTTCATTCCTTTGAATAGAGGTAGATTTCACTGGGTATCATTTCCTTCTGCCTGAAGAATTTCCATTAACATTTCTTTGTGATATGGTTCTGCTACTGATTTCTTTTAGCTTTTGCATGTCTGAAAAGCTCTTTATTTTGCCTTCATTTGTGAAAATCTGATTTCCCTGAGTACAAATACTATAGAACTATTTCAGTACTTTTATTTTCTTTCCGTATTATAGAAAAGCTATACTTGTTTTCTTGATTGCATTTCTTTCAATGAGGAATATGCTTTCATTCTTATCTCATTCTTTGTTAGTTTGTATCTCATGTGCTCCACATCTGGATGCATTTAACGCTGTCCATCAGTAGTCTTAAACAATCTGACTGTAATGTGCCTGGTAATTTTTTCATGTTTGAGTTTATTGAGATTTTTGGAATTGTGAATTTGTAGTTACCATGAAATTTGTAAATATTCAGTCATTGTGTACTCAAATATTCGTTGTTGTTGTTTTTGTTTGTTTGTTTTTTGAGACTGAGTCTCGCTGTATTGCCCAGGCTGGAGTTGAATTAGCACAATCTCGGCTCACTGCAATCTCCACCTCACAGGTTCAAGCAATTCTTATGCCTCAGCCTCCCAAGTAGCTGGTATTACAGGCACCCACTACTACGCCCAGCTAATTTTTGTATTTTTATTAGAGACAGGGTTTCACCATGTTGGCCAGGCTGGTCTTGAACTCCTGACCTCAAATGATCCGCCCACCTCAGCCTCCCAAAGTGCTGGGATTACAGGTGTGAGCCACTGCACCTGGCCCTCATTTTTATTATTCTCCTCTTTACTACTTTTTGGGAACTCCAATCTTACATATATTATTAAGCTGCTTGCAGTTTATCTAGCTTACAGATTCCCTCTTCATCATTTTCGGTCTTTTAAATCTGTGTGTGACATGTTGTATAGTTTCAGTTGCTATGATTTTTATTCATGAATCTTTTCCTTTGCAATGTTTAATCTGCTGTTAATCTAATCCAATGAATTTTTATATCAGATATTGTATTTTTACCTTTAGAAGTTTTATTTTAGTGTTTGTATCTTCCATGTCTCTCCTTAATGTATATAGCTTTTCATCTACCTTCTTAAGCAAATGGAGTACAGTTACAATGGTATTTTTAAACCATTCATAATTGAAGTGATTATTCATATAGGTGGAGTGATATCTACTATGTTTGTCATTGTTTTCTGCTCATTGAATTTGCTGTTTGTTATTTCCTACTCTTTTTCTGTCTTCTTTTTAATTGATCATTTTATATGATTCCATTTTATTTCCTTTCTTAGAATAGTAATTATACTTCTCTTAAAAAGGTTTTTAATGGTTGCTCTACAGTTTACAATATACGATTCTGTACTCTCAGTCCACTTTCAGATGTCATTATATTACTTTGTGTACAGTATAGGTACCTCATACAGAATACTCTCAACTTCTCTCTCATGTCCCTTGTAATACTGCTATCATTAATTGCACTTATTCATATTTGATAATCATGCAATACATTGTAATACTATTATTTTTAAATGTTACACTTTACATAGATTAAGATAAGAAAAATAAAAGATTTAATTTTAATACCATTTATTCCCCCTCCAATGCATTGCTAGGCATTCTTCATTTCTGTTACTATATTTTTATTTCTAGAGTTTTCTTTCTTATTGTGGTAAAATATGCATAACATAAAATTTATCTTTTTGACGATTTTTAAATATTCAATTCAGTGGCATTAAGTATATACACATTATTGTGCATTTATCATAACTATCCACCTTCAGAACTTCCGTGTCATCCCAAAACTGCGCATTAAACAATAACTCCGCATTCCTCCAACCCTTTCCCCAGGACTTGGTAACCACTCTTCTACTTTTTGTCTCTGAATTTGACTATTCTTGTATCTCATGTAAGTGTAATCATACAATATCTCTCCTTTTATGTCTCATTTATTTCACTTAGCATAATGTTTTCAAGGTTCATTTATGTTGTGGGCCGAATTGTGTATCTCTAAAATTCACAGGTTGAAGTCCTGACCCCCAGTACCTCATAATGTGATATTTGAAGAAAGAACGTTTAAAGAAGTAATCAAGGTAAAATGAGGTCATAGAGATGGATATGAAGCTAATATGAGTGGTGTCATATTGAAGAGATTAGGACACAGACACACACAAAGGAAAGACCATGTGAAGACAGAGGGAAAAGACAAATACCAATAAACCTTGGAGAGTCCAGGCATGGTCTGTAATTCTAGCACTTTGAGAGGCCGAGGCAGGTGGATCATGAGGTCAGGAGATGGAGACCATCCTGGCTAACACGGTGAAACCCCGTCTCTACTAAAAAAATACAAAAAAATTAGCCTGGGCGTGGTGGTGGGCACCTGCAGTCCCAGTACTCGGGAGACTGAGGCAGGAAAATGGTGTGAACCTGGGAGGCAGAGCTTGCAGTGAGCTGAGATCGTGCTTGGGTGACAGAGCGAGACCCCGTCTCAGAAAAACAAAACGAAAACAAAACAAACAATCAGAAAAAACCTTGGAGAGAGGCCTCAGAAGAAACAACCTTGTTGACACACATGATTTTGGATTTGCAGCTCCAGACTGTGGTAAAATAAATTTCAGTTGTTTAAGCTTCACAATCTGTGGTACTTTGTGATGGCAGCCATATCAAGATAATTCTTTTTAAGGCTGAATGATATTCTATTGAATGTTTATCCATTTATTCATTGATGGTCATTTGCATGGTTTTCATCTTTTGGCTATTGTGAATAATGCTATTACAAATATTGGTGTACACACATCTGTTGAGTCTCTGCTTTCAATTCCTTTGGATATATATCTGGAGGTAGAATTGGTGAATCATATGATATTCTATGTTTAATTTTTGAGGAACCACCATACTGTCTTTTGTGGCAGCTGCACTATCCATTTTTCCATTCTCATAAAAAATGTGCCATCAATTTTTTCATATCCTTGCCAACATGTATGATTGTGTGTGTGCATGTGCACATGTATATTGGCCATCCTAGTGGGTATGATGTGGTTTTCATTGTGGCTTTGATTTGCATTTTCTTAATGATCCTTTTATGTTCTTACAGGTCATTTGCATATCTTCTTTGGAGAAATGTCTATTCAAGTCCTTTGCTCACTTTTAAGTTGGATATTTAAGAGTTTTTTCTTGCTGTTGAGTTGTATGAGTTTTTTATATATTCTGATATTAATCCTAACCCAATTTTAGTATTTCTTTTATTTTTCCTTTCTTAGAGTTTCCATCTCTTTTTTTATATCACCTATCTGTTCTTGCATGTGGTCTACTTTTTCCATTAGAGTCCTTAATATATTAATCACAATTAGTTTACATTTTCTGTCTGGAAAATTCCAATAGTTGTATCATACTTCAGTCTGCTTCTGATAGTGTTTTGTTGTGACTTTTTTCTTGTCATTTGTCATGCCTTGTAATTTTTTTCTTGTCTGTATTGGGTAATATGGACTGAGGTAAATAGACCTGCAACGTGGGGATTTATAGCTAGGAATTAAGCTATGTTTAGTATTTTCTCTACCTATACATCTAAAATGCTGCAAATTTCTCTGCTGCCCACCTTTTTGTCTCCTCTTGACTTTGGCTTCCCAAGTTACTGCTCTCCAGAGAGAGTCTGTTTCTTGGAACTCTTTTGGCTATAATTCACTATGTAATGCTGTGGGATTCTGTTGGGATAGAGGTGTGGTCTAGGGGAGAGAGAGTGCTCTGTAATCTTCCATTTAAATCTCAGCTTTTTATGTGGCTATGTCCAGGACTGTGAACTTTACAAGTATTTCTGACTCTTCTCCAATGGTGTATAGCTTTTCTTATCCCCAGCCCTCAATCCTTTCCCAGGTTACAGAATCTTCAATCTATTTTTTTTGAAGCTCTGAATTCTGTTTTTCCTCCTTAGTGATACAAGAAGGCTGAAATTGGCTGGAGTGGGAAGAATTTCATTCCACCAACCAGGATAAGGCTCTTACAAAATATTTTCTCCTGGTGAGTGTGCTTTTTTTGGAGAAGTTTCTAAGTGTATTTTATAGTGATTCCTCTTCCCCTTTCCAACTATAACCATGAGGGATCTTTCTTAAATCTCCACCCTGAGCCCTGTTGGAGTTCCTAAAGGTAAAACCTATTAAAGTGTTAGAGCCACCCTAAAACTGGGGCCCTTAGAACTAAGAAGTTTCTCCTACTCAAAGTAATTGAAGCAGGCCCCCTTCACAGGCAGGAAATGGAGTGCACAGAGGCACTGGCAGGGGCAAACTCCACTTACTTGGCCCGCCATGCTCCACCCCTCATGGGAGGGGGAGCATGCAGGAGACTGGGTGCCAGAGCTGGAGCTAGCGCTATTGGACATCGGCAAGCGTGAACTCCATACGAGCCCCATGACAGCATCTACAGGAGGGTGCCTGCAACCCCTGATGCCCCAGAAGGAGTGTTACAGTGCCCTTTTAGCTTTGCCATCAATGGATGACTTAAGTGTTAACAGCTCAGTGGAGGCTCAGTGAGACAGCCTTTATACCTGCACTTGTGGCCCCTGAGTTCTTGTCTGGCATCCAGGAGGAATGGAGCTGCACAAATGAATTAAGGACGGTAAATGTGGGGGATTTTATTGCCGATGAAAGTGGCTCTGAGCAGGAAGGGGAGCTGGAAAGGGGACAGAGTGGGAAGGTATTCCTCCACTGAAGTCCAGCCATCCCAGGCCAGACTCCTCCTTCTGGCCTATGCTGTCAAGCTGTCCCTCTGAAGTCAAACTGCTTCTTTTCAACATCAAACAATAGCTTCTAAAGTCCAGCTGCTTCTTCTCTTCTCCTCTCTCTGCTGGCTGAGCCTGGGTTTTTCTTTTTTTTTAATTGAGATGGGGTCTCACTTTTGTCACCCAAGCTGGAGTGCAGTGGCACGATCTTGGCTCACTGCAACCTCTGCCTGCTGGGTTCAAGTGATTCTCCTGCCTCAGCCTCACAAGTAGCTGGGACTACAGACGGTGTGTGCCACCATGCCTGGCTAATTTTTTGTATTTTTAGTAGAGACAGGTATTTACTGTGTTAGCCAGGATGGTCTCAATCTCCTGACCTCATGATCCACTGCCTCGGCCTCCGAAAGTGCTGGGATTACAAGCATGAGCCACCATGCCTATCTGAGCCTGGGGTTTTTATGGGCACAGAATGGGGTGGTGAGGCAGGCCATGGGTGGTTTTGGAAAAGGCAACATTCGAGTGGGAAAACAGGGATGTAAGTTCTCACTTTGGACCATGGTATTAGGCTTTTTGGCTTCAGGGTGGGGTTTTTGCCAAGGACTCACCCTCTCCAGCCCAGAATTCCTCTGCCTCCTGTCCCTATCATATTCACACTAAGCCTCCAATAATGCATCAAAATTACCACCGAAGAGTTTCTACCAGCTTATGGTTTTTGTGGCCTGTGCTCTAGGTAAGCAGGTCTCAGCTATATATCTCTAGAAGTGCTTATCTCTCTAGATTTTTGGGTAACAGTTTGCCCTGTGACCTCAGTTCTGTGATGGCTTTAAAGAAAAGCTTTTTTGTTTCTTCTGGCTCTACTTGTTGTAAGAACTGAAGTGACAACTTGCAATCTATTTACGCATTGCTGCTCAAGCAAGAAGTTCGACAGTAGCATTCTAAGTGTTCTTGTCTACTAATTCTATCATCTGTGTTAATTATGAGTCTTCTGTCATGATTGATTTTATCCTTATTATGGATCACATTTTTCTCCCTTGAATTCTTGGTAATTTTTCACTAGATATTACACATTTTGAATTTTGGTATCTGAATATTTTTATTTAAATATTCTCCAGTGAAACAACTATAACTGGTTTAAATTATCTTAAAAATAACAATCTTTAAAAATCTCTGAAAATCAACTTAAGAGGATACAGAAAGTGAAAAATGTCTTCATAAAATTCTCAGTAAGAATAGTGAGAATTGGAGACTTGGGCCCTGACCTATTCCCTCTCTCTACTCCCTCTCCACTGCTCAGTGTAACACAGTCTCTACTCTGGATAGGTATGGCCACAAAGATGGAGTTCTCTCTATACTCAGCTTTCAGTCAAGAGCTATGATGGCTCCTTTGGAGGATAAGGCCACCAGCATAGCTCATTCTCCCAACTCCTTAGCACAGAGGCTCAATTCCAGGTGAGTGTAGCCAAGCGGTCAGAAGCTTCCTTCTATCCCCCACTCAGAGGCTCCTCTGTCCCCCACTCAAAGGCTCCATTTCATGCATGGCAGGGTGAGAATGATGAGACCTTGATACCTTCACCCCAGCTTGCTCAGAGGGAAAGATTCCAGACCAGAGAGGTAAGCTGAGAAGTTCAGAGACTACTGCCCTCACCAGCACCTTCCACCCACAAAAACAGCAGTGTCACTTTGAGAAAAATGGGCCACTGTCTCCAGCCCCAGCTCTAGAGAAGTGGCAAAGAGATTTTTTTCCTGGGGGAGAGGTTATAAAAACAGAGAGCTCTGATGCTCTTCCCAAAGGTTCTGACTTTATTTAAAACAGAGTTGGAGGAGTTCCACTCTAAGGGAACTCTTGAAAACAATGGAGATTTTGTTGGTAAGAAATTAAGAGGAGGCTTGCAGCTCCATGATAATAAGCCAAACTATAGGCCAGCTAGTTAGGAAGACCAGGTAAAGAGCCAGTCACAAAGACCCCTCCTGGGGTCAGAACAAACTTCAAAATCTACCCCTGAAAAGGAACCCAAATTTAATTGGATTAAACATGGGGAACTTTTGGCCCAGGATACTGTCATGCACAAGAAAGAAATCAGCTGGAAATTAGTGAACATTAACAGCTGGGTATGACCAACAGAGTCAGACAGCTTAACAGAGAGAACAGGAAAAGAGACATCCTACATGAGTTCTGCTAAAACTACTGTCATCCCAAGGTGACTGTGCCAGTGCCCAAAGCTGTGCCCTCTGAGGAGTGACATTAGAGGCTTGCTACTGTTGGGGAATAGATTTCACCAAAATAGTCCATCCAAGTCACTCAATAACCAAGCAAACAACAAAACAACCAAGCCCCGTGGTCAGGGGAATTAGTATCCAGAGTTGCTAAAATGTATTATTTAAAATATCCAATTTTCAACAAAAAAATTGTAAGACATGCAAGAAAATAGAAAAGTATTACCTATAGGTAGGAAAAGAGAAGCAGGTAATATAAACTGCTTATGAGAAGGCCCAGATGTGGGATTTGGCAGACAAAGACTTCAAAGCAGTTATAAATTTTGTTCAGAGAACTAATGGTTACCAGAGACTAGGAAGTGTAGTGGGAGGGTGGGGTGAGGGTTGGGATGGTTAATGAGTACAAAAAAAAAAATAGTTAGAAAGAATAAATAAGACCTACTATTTGGTAGCACAACAGAGTGAGTACAGTCAATAATAACTTAAAATAGCATATTTTAAAATAACCCATTTCCCATTTGCCCCAAGAATACTGCACTGGCAGTGAGCTGCAACTTTCTTTTTTCCTAAATGCAAAATGGGTTAAAGAGTGTAACTGGATTGTTTGTAACTCAAAGGATAAATGCTTGAGAGGATAGATACCTCATTCTCCATGATGTGCTTATTTCACATTGCATGCCTGTATCCAAACATCTCATGCACCCCATAAATATACACACCTACTAGGTGCCCACAAAAATTAAAAATTTAAAAATGTTCAGAGAACTAAAGGTAACCAGGTTTGAAGAGGTATAGAAAGATACGATGACAATGGCTTATTAAAAAGAGGATATCAATAAAGAGAATTATAAAAAGAATCAAAAATTTTTGAGTTGAAATATACATTAACTGAATCAAAGTTTCACTTAAGTGGCTCAACAGTAGATTTGAACTGGCAGAAGAAAGAATCAGAAAACTTAAAAGATAAGTGGATAGAAAGTATGCAATCCAACAAACAGAAATGAAGAGGACCTCAGAAGAAGGTGGGACACCATTAAACACACCAATATATGCATGAAAAGACTACCAGAAGGACAAGAGAGAGCAAAAAGCAGAAAAATGTATTTAAAGATATAATATCTGAAAACGTCCCAAATTTGAGAATAAACATTAAACATCTACAAAATTCAACAAACCCCAAGTAGGATATACACAAAATGCTTCACACCAAGACACATCATAGTAAAAATGTTGAATGCTATATAGAGAAAATTTTGAAAGAAGTAAGAGAAAAACGGCTCATCGCATATAAGACAACTCCAGCAAGAGTAACACCTAAATTTTCATTGGAGGTTCTAGTAACTAACTGTTAAGTATTGCTTACTCTTGGTATAGTTAAATGAGTATTGATTGTTCTGAATGAAGTTAATTGGATATTGACAGAACTTGATACATTTTCTGGGGTTAGCTTCAAGTAGCCAATGACTGAATGCTTCTAATATTATCAAAGGACCAGTACAAAATATTCTGTATCAGTTTATCCTGTTTGTTACATTTCTTCAGATGAAGTTACTCACTTGACTGCCCATGCAGTGCAATGCTGTGGAAAGAAATATTGTATTCCATATTAACCTCAAAGTAATGGTTTGATAAACAATTGAAATGAGTAATTAAAATATTTGCTTAAAAATATGAGATCTGACAAAGGATTGGAGAGCCGAGAGCTGATCTACGAATCTCCAGTACGGTTTTTCAACTCACCGTGAGAGGACTAAGGATGGGTCTTGGTTGGATAAATGGGTATGTTTTTGTGGTGGCATTGGAGAAGGTAGAAAATAAAAGGGAATTTATATACAACTCTTCTCTACTTCACAACAATTTTGTTGTTTCCAATGCTGGATCTGGAAGTCCCTATAATGGGGCTAAAATTAAGGTCCAAGTGTCTGGTAATATTACAAAACCAGACAGTATGCCTATTACTTTGACTAATGACAAGAATTCCAAAGAGATTAATGGGGTGGATGATACTCTGTCTGCATCTCGGCAAGTTGGGACTGCCTATGCAAATGCTGTGCTGCCTATTGGGCGGAGTAGCCATTATTTCTCTGCACTTATCCAATCCATCCCCATATGTGTGCGAATGGACAAATGAAGAAGTCCTGGCATGTCTCATCTTGCTACTGTCACTATAGCCAAATGAGTTACTGACTTCAGGAGGAAAGGTTTGTTTTAAAATTAATGATAAATGAGAGAAAAGTGAATCAGGCTGAGTGAAGAGAGCCAGCAAGTGTGTCTTACAAAAGGGAAAAATCAAAGATAATTTTGATGTCCTAAGAGAGGTTTACAACAAGTGAATAACATGCTCTCTTAGCTTTGACTCAGATGTCCTCTGGGGCAAAAGACTGCCAAAACTTCTTCCACTTTAAAAAAATGAAGAAGCTGTAAAATGACCAATCTAATAAATATACTTCCACTATTGATCTATGTCCTTCTAATCAATAAACAGATTGGAGCTCAGGCAATGACTCTGTGAAACAATACTAATGTGGCTGTCTCATATGGTTCTTGTTTCACAGAGAATTCAATTAGTATAAATGTATACTAATAGAAGTATAAATCTCAATTGATGTATATCATACAATACAGATAGCTGAAGATCAGGGAGAAGAAAAATGTATAAAATATGTGGCACTTCCTGTTGGCATTACAGGATGGTTTAAATTCACGACCCCTCAGGGGTGATTACAATTCTTTCAAACCTGTATGTGCGTTTTGATCACCAATTGATTATATGCTGTTGAAAGCCAAATGATTCCATCAAACTAAGAGTGATTGTTTTGTTGTAAAAGGCTCTGACCAAAAATTATGGGGTAGAGTGGAATGCTGTAAAAGGTAAGCCCAGCAGACCTGGAATTAGTGTGAACTGCAGAGTTTGCTTATCACTGATCATTGGTCAAGGAATAAAACATACTGATTAATAGTGCTGCTTTTCATCCATGAGTCCAAGATGTTTGGGAGCAGGTTTTAACAGTGCATCAGTAGTGTTTACCGTTAACAGTGAGACTGATTTATGCCTGGTCTCATTGGAACCTTCAGAGTCCTCTGCTGTTGGGGCTTGTTGCCTAGCAAGAATATGCCTATGTGTCCAGCAGAGTATAAGAGACACCAGCAGAGAATCCATTTTGGGGTTTCTGATGTGTTTTGTGCACATGTTGAATCCTTATGTGATAGTGAAATTGTGTCCATATAACACTTGCACAAGGAAAAATGGAGTTTGTGCATGGCCCTTACCCAGACCCCTTGCTGTGAGGCAGCCTTTGGCTGTGATGTAAATACTGACTTTAATGGTATTGCTATGTTGTACCCTTTCCCTTAATAAATGGTAGATATTTAAGCACTGTCATTTTGGGCCTTGTGAGCCTTCCTTAGCAATTGACTGTTGTTTAATTGCCACTGTTAAAGTACCACATTTTTTTGTAATGTGGCAGTTCTGTAGTTTTAGGCCTTGTGGCCATTTCTCAAGGTGTCACTTGCTTCACTGCCTAGGGAGTTACCTGTCCATAACTGACAGAGAAAACGTAGCTTCTGAGGCCTTCACTTTAGCGTATCCTTTTCTGAGCCCAAACATGATCATGAAGTAGAAAAGCACAATAAGGAAAAACTAGTGAAATCTGAAAAAAAAAGTGTCTAGTTAATAATGTTATCAATGTTTCTTAGTTATAAAAACATACCATAGTAATATGCTAATAGGGAAAACTGGGTGAGGAGTATATACAAACTATCATTGTAATTTTTCTGTAAATACATTCTCAAATAATTCTTTTAAAAAAGAGTACTCCTTTTCATCTATACTTTTCTGAAAATTAAGCATGCAGAAAGGCATGCTTTTTGACCCTCAATTCCCTTGGGCACTGTGCAGTAAGCTCAAGTAGCATCATGGTATCAGAGACTAAGGAGAATAAAAAAGAAGGAAACATATTTCCATAACAGATGGCACCTTTCTGCCAGGAGCGGTAAGTACCTGAGGAAGGTAAGCAGCGCCAGGGCCAGTCCCACACCAACTCCTTCATCATTCCTTTTTCCTCATGAGCTGCCCAAAGTAGCCCCTCAGTGTCTGATGTGCCAGCCCTGGAGGTGCTGATATGGTCCTCGTCTAAAGGTGGGCTCTTCTTTCATGGCTCATCTTTGCAGTGATGCTACTCAATTAACTGTTAACAACAGTGTCAAGGAAATACCTGTCCTCTAACTAATTCTAAAGATGCCATCATTCTCCCTCACACTATCCTTGCCCACAATATAACAAGGGATGGGAATTAGAGACATTTTTCTTGGGTCAACTGATTTATTGTCCTCATGCTTAACCTATCAGATCAAACTTGCAGAAAGCAAGATGCTCAGGGCTGGGGAAAATTGTTACTGGTCTAGGTTTTAAAAATGATTTTGTCTACTTTCTTTTCTGTGCTCATCAAACCGTAGGCTAAAATAATGGCACATTAACTAAATGCTTTCTTGGCTAAGATTATGCCACATTATATTGTTTTACCAAAAGTGAGTCTGCTTTCTCGTACCAGGACTGTACTTCTGGGACAAAGTAGTCCTTTTCATTCCAATTCCAAAACCTGCTGTCTTAGTTTGGTAGAAATACCAAACTGGTATTTCTGGTTTGTGATGCAGTGTGAGGAGGCATCATGATGTTGGAGGAAAATATTCCAAACAGGATGCTGAGGCTATATGCATACAATGGAGGAGAGGAGACCAGTTGCTTTATAATCATCCTGTGCAAAATGAGTAAGTGGAGTGGGATAAAATTAAAATAAAGGCAAACAAAAAGTATATAAGAATCACCCTGTCCTCCCTGGCGCCCCCCTCCAAACACACAAACACACAAGGTGACTGGGGAAATCTCAGCTATCTCCAAGGTCCTAGAAGAATAGGCAAGACTAGTTTTAGGACAAGACTAATTAATATCCAGACATAGCAGGCAGGCCAAAATCTAACAGCATTGAGGGAAGCCAACAGAGGACACAGTCACTCAGAAAAGGAAGTGGACATGCCCAGTGCAGGTTTGGCTGTTAGCACCCACTAGAACTCACCAGTGAGTTACAACGTTTATATACAGACTAAAAGATCTTCCACAGAGCTCAAACTATTCACATTTATTCATATTCTCCACAGAATTCAAATTATTCCATTTTTAACTTCACATTCTACAGTGAGTTTTTCTATAGGTAAATATTTTCTTATATATGTTCTATAAAATTTTTGATATTACAAAACAGAAGCTTGGTACATCAGTTCTAGGTGAATATTTTATCTCCAATTCTAAAACTGACATATTTCCTCAGAAAAAAATACCTAGGAAAAATGTCATTTATTCAAAATATGAAATTTTATTATAATTGATGTTTAATGCAATTCACTTTACGAAGGTTTTTGTGGTTTTCCCTAAAATTTCTGTTTTAATGAAGGCTCCTGATCATCCTGGATGTCAACAAGTTTTCTTCTTCATGTGACGTCTCTGATGCACAATAAACTGATTAGTTTTTCTAAAACTGATTATATTCATAGGGTTTCATCTCACTCTAACATAAAGTTTAAGCTAAACTACGTCCATTTAACTAATAAGCCAAATTTGTAAGAGCTTAACAGACTATAAACTTAACTCTTGCTTTAAAGCAACAAAAACAAAACCCTGATGAAGACCTGGAAGTGAATTGTTCGTTTTTCAGACTCTAGCTTCCTTGACCTTGTGCTTTATGGTTTTGAACACACAGGACCCAAGTTTGCTGCAGAAATAACCTCCAAATCCATATTATGAACCAGGAAGACTGTGAGGGTTTTTCTTTTTTTTTTTTAAGGGCCAAGAGTAAATGTAATATATATCATTAGCACCATATCCCATGGTCAGCCCCACCTGAATAAACGGCATATTGGGATTTTTCCACAAACTATGAGCCTAATGAAAAAGGAAATGGATAAGGGAAACAAGTTCCCAGCCTATGTCACATGAGTTTCTGCACTACGTGTTATGTGGTAAGGTATGCATTCCCTCAGGACTTCCCAAATCCATTACATGCTAGGGTTTTCTCTCTGGTATGCATTCTGGTGTGATGTACCCTAAGAGCTGCCTTACGGACAAAAGTTTTCCCACATTCATCACATTCATAGGGTTTCTCCCCTGTGTGAATTCTCTGGTGTACTCTGAGAGTTGAATTTTGGGCAAAAGCTTTCCCGCATTCATTACACTCATAGGGTTTCTCCCCTGTGTGAATTCTCTGGTGTGCACTAAGGTGTGATTTCTGGGAGAACGTTTTCCCACAATCATTACATTCATAGGATTTCTCCCCTGTGTGAATTCTTTGATGTACTCTGAGGGTTGAATTATGGGCAAATGGCTTCCCACATACATTACATTCATAGGGTTTCTCCCCCGTATGAACTCTCTGATGTGCACTAACATATGACTTCTCAGAGAAGGTTTTCCCACATTCACTGCATTCATAGGGCTTCTCCCCTGAGCGAGTTCTAAGATGTGCTCTGAGATGTGATGTCTTGGAGAAAGTCTTCCCACAGTCATTACATTCATAGGGTTTCTCCCCTGTGTGAATTCTGTGATGTGCCCTGAGGGCTGAATTATCAGCAAACGTTTTCCCACATTCATTACACTCATAGGGTTTTTCCCCAGTATGAATTCTCTGATGTGCACAGAGGTGTGTTCTTTGGGAGAAAGTTTTCCCACATTCGTTACATTCATAGGGTTTCTCCCCTGTGTGAATTCTTTGATGCACTATGAGGGCTGCCTTATAGACAAAAGTTTTCCCACATACGTTACATTCATACGGTTTTTCCCCTGTGTGAATTCTCTCATGTCCACTGAGGTATGATTTCTGGGAGAAAGTTTTCCCACACTTGCTACATTCATAGGGTTTCTCCCCTGTGTGAATTCTCCGATGTGTACTGAGGCGTGTCTTCTGGAAAAAAGTTTTTCCACATTCACTACATTCATAGAGTTTCTCCCCTGTGTGGATATTCTGATGTGCTCTAAGGGCTGAATTATGGGCAAATGTTTTCTCACATTCATTACATTTATAGGGTTTCTCCCCCGTGTGAATTCTCTGATGTATTTTGAGGGCTGAATTATGGGCAAAAGTTTTCTCACAGTCACTACATTCATAGGGTTTTCTACCTGTGTGAATTCTCTGATGTGCTCTCAGGGCTGAATTGTAGGTGAAAGATCTCCCACATTCATTACATTCATAGGGTTTCTCCCTTGTGTGAATTCTTTGATGTGCCTTGAGAACAGAAATATGGGCAAAAGACCTTCCACATTCATTACATTCATAAGGTTTCTCCCCCGTGTGAATTCTATGATGTGCTCTGAGGGCTGAATTATGGGCAAAAGTTTTCTCACAGTCACTGCATTCATAGGGCTTCTCACCTGTGTGAATTCTTTGATGTGCTCTCAGGGCTGAGTTATAGGTAAAAGATTTCCCACAGTCATTACATTCATAGGGTTTCTCCCCTGTGTGAACTCTCTGATGTACACTGAGGTGTGTCTTGTGAGAGAAAGTTTTCTCACATTCAACACATTCATAGGGTTTTTCACCTGTGTGAATTCTCTGATGTGCTCTGAGATGTGATGTCTTGGAGAAAGTTTTCCCACATTCAATACATTCATAGGGTTTCTCCCCCATGAGAATTCTCTGATGTCCTTTGAGATGTGATGTCTTCCCATATTCACTGCCACCACAGAGTTCCATCTCTGCATCTGTTTTCTGGTGTCCTATGAGGGGTGACTTGTAAGATCTCCCACAGCCATTGTTATCACAAGGTTTCTCTTTTGTGTGAATTCTCAGATGTTTACTGAGGTTTGAATTCTGACAGAAAGCTTTCCCACATTCATTACATTCATAAAGTTTGAATCCCACATAAGTTCCAGGATGCTGAATAGGATGTGAACTTGAACAAAAGGATTTTGCACATTCCTCATATTGGTAAGTTTTCTCTCCTGAGTGGGGCCTCTCATGCTGAATGAGGTGTGCTTTCCAGTAAAAGGATTTTCTGCATTTCCCATGTTCATCAGAAAGGTAGAATTTCTGATGTGCTGTAAAGTCTGTGTGAATTCTCTGATGTGCTGTAAAGTCTAATTTCTGGTAGAGGGCATCTGTACATTCATTATGTTCACCAAATTTATCTCCAGCTTGTGTTTTCTGATGTACTATATGGGCTGAGCTCTGGCTAAAATTTTCTTCACATTTATTGCTTTCAAAAGCACTCCATCCTGTAATAGTTCTCTGAGATTGAGTGAGGGGTGACTTCCTACTGAAATTAATCCCCCTTTCATTACACTCATAGTGTGTCATAGCCATGTGAACTTTATTGTATTCAACAGCGGTGGTTTTGTCACAGGATGTCCCATATTCATTAAGATCAGAGCATTTCCCCCTTTTGTCAGTTCTCATGTGGTTAAATAAAGTGGTTTTATCAAAGTTTTTTTCTAAATTCATCATCCTTACAGGACTTTTCTCCTGTTAGAAAACTCTGAGGTGTAATACAAATTGTCTTATCATATAAACCTTGTCCAGATCCATCACATTCAAAAGATTCCTCCAAAGTTTGAAATTTCCAATGCTGACCTTTCTTATAACTGAAAGCTTTAGCATTTTCACCATGTTCATAAGATTTCTCTTCAGCATGAGCTTTCTCATGCTTAATATCAAGCTGCAGTTTCTCACACACATTCATGTATTCAGTCTTCTTTCTTGAATATTTTCTTTCACTTATAATTAATTGAGAAGCAACTGGCAAATTCATTCTGTGTGAGTCACATTTACAGGATATTTTTTCTGAAAGCTCTGGAGCTATTTCCAGATTAAATAGTTTTTCTAAAACTTTCTGTCCTTCTTTACTCAATGTTTTGTCAGCATCACTGATGAATATTTCTTGCCACAGAGGTTTTTCTTGTTTTTCCCGGATCCCTTTGATGTGATCAACTTTAAAATATCCTAAAATGAGAAAAATTGAAAATATAGTATAAATCTTACATTTCTCATGGAGAAGAACTTATACTCATATTTTGGTTTTGGTTTTGGTTTTTGAAATAGGGTATTGCTCTGTCACCCAGGCTGGAGTGCAGTGGCATGATCATAGCTCACTGCAGCCTTGAACTCCTAGGCTCAAGTGATCCTCCCACTTCAGCCTCCCTACTAGATGGGACTACAGGGATATGCCACCATGTCCTGTTAATTTTTTTTATATTTAGTGGAGAGAGGGTCTTGCTACATTGCCCAGGCTGATCTTAAACTCCTGAGCTCAAGCGATCCTCCTGCCTTGACCTCCCAAAGTGCTGGGATTACAGGCATGAGCCACTGTGCCCGGCCCCTGTTTTGTTATGTATTTTATTCTATTGTTTCTGGTCATGTTTCCAAATATTAAATACTTCATGCACACAGACAGATTCTCTCCTCATCCATGCTGTTTATAAAACAGGTATTATTTCCGGGGCCAGTCAAGGTGGAGTAGTAACCCCTTTCTTCCCACATCTTCCCTCTTACAATTAAAAATCCCTAGAGAAAAAACAAAACAACAAAAAAAGATTAACAAATATACAAATATACGAATACTACAAAATGGAAAGAAAGTGGACTTCAGGACTTAAGAAATGACACAGTATGGAATTCCAAGGCTATTCTATATCCTAGACTGGGTGCTGAAGAAACCTACAATCCTGCACTGACAGGCACAGACAAAAAGAGCACAAAGAAAAGCCTGCTTCTTCCAGCCAGAGGTCTGAGAAAATGGTGGTCTAACAGAACAGGAAACACTTTTGATGTTTTCTCATGCTCAGGCCAAACCAAAATGATACAATCCTGTGGTTCCATGGAGGCTGAGCAGGGAGCTAATGTTCCCTGCCGTAGATACACAGGATCTGCATGCTCTTATATGTTTTCTTCCATGAGCCATGAAGAATCCTGAGAAAGTTCCATTCTTAGGATATGCTGGGAGACGGTCACAGCAGCCACTACCAAAATTCTGCCTAGAACCAAATTATTATCTAATTTATGGAACAAATGTCTTAATCTGCAAGGGCAAGAATATAATAAGTTGTTTTAGGGCACTGACAGGAACTCATAGCAGCTATGGGAAGGAAACAAGAAAAAAAGAAGCACAGAAGTAAGAGGAGAGGCAGGAATACACAGTAGACCCAATACTCAAGCAGAAGAGATAAGATAAAGTAGCACTTGCAATAACCATGGCTTCAAACCTGAAGACACAATGCATTCAACAGCTGAATTCACATTCTTCTGAAATGCACATGGAACAATCATCAAAACAGACTATATTCTAGACTGTAAGACAAACCTTCAGAAATATAGAAGAAATAAATTATACAGAGGATGATCTTGGGCCACAGAGAAATTATACCAGAAATCAGTAAACACAAATTTATCTGGAGAAATACAAAAGAACTGTAAGTTATACATTCCTAATTAACCCATGGGTGAAAGAATTCTCAAATGAGATATTTTGAAGTGAATGTAAACAAAACAACTTAGAATACAGAAATTTGTGGATGCAGCTAAGGCAGTACACATAGATAAATTTGGGGCTTAAATTTTTTTGGCCAGATGCGGTGGCTCACGCCTGTAATCCCATCACTTTGAGAGGCTGAGGTGTGTGGATCACAAGGTCAGGAGTTTGAGACCAGCCTGACCAACATGGTGAAACCCCTTCTCTACTAAAAATACAAAAGTTAGCCGAGTGTGGTGGTGCACACCTGTAATCCCAGCTACTCAGGAGGCTGGGGCAGGAGAATTGCTTGAACTCGGGATGTGGAGGTGCAGTGAGCCACGGTACTCCAGCCTGGGTGACAGAGTGAGACTCTGTCTTTAAAAAAATTATATTTGAAAAGAAAGATCTCCAGTCAGATGCTTGTTTCCCCCTTAGGAAACTAGATAAAGACAGGACATTAAGTTGAAAGAAAGTAGAAGGATGACAAAAAAGTCAAACCAAAAGCTTAATTTTTTAAAAAGTTTTTTTAATGATAAAAACCATCAGAGAGAAAAAAAGAGAAGACACAAATTACCAATACCAAAAATTCAAGAGAGGACTAACTACTAACAGACATTCAAGAGATAATAAAACAACATTAACAATAACTCTGTCTTAGTTCGGGCTACTACAACAAATTACCATAGACTAAATGGCTTAAAGAATAAACATTTATTTTTCCCAGTGCAGGAGACTGGAAGTCTGAGATTAGGGTGCCAACATGACTGTGTTCTTGTGAAGACCTCTTCTGGTTTACAGACCACTCACTTCTTGTTATATCCTTACATGGTGAAAAGTGAAGTAGCTAGCTCTGACACCGTTTTGTAACAGCATTCTAGTCTCTCTCTCTTTTTTTTTTTTAACTATAAAAGCAAACTAACTTTATTTGGACAATCTAAGTGGAAAGAAGAGGCAGGTGAATGTGTATTGTAACCACAGGGAATATATTCTATGTCAAATGTTAAAACATAATGGCAGAATAATCTAAAAGACATTTTTTTCTAAAGGAGCTGTCGGTGAAAAGGATATTTACGACAACATATTAACTTACTTCATTATGATGGAGGATATGTTAACTGAATGTCTAATTTACTCAAATTTTAACTATGTTTGCATATGTAAATAAGGCTTAAGAATGTAATGAAATCTTCCTCTATATATGTGTATGTGTGTGTGTGTGTGTGTGTGTGTGTGCAATTCCAAAGAACAACTTCTGGACCAAATAGTTTTAACTAGTAAATTTTACCAAATATCCAAGGAAGAAATAATACCAATCCTACACAATGTCTTCTAGAAAATAAAAGATGGAATATTTCCCAAATCATTTTATAAGGCCTGCCTCATCCTCATAGCAAGATTAGGCAAATACTATTCAAGAAAAGAAACTTTCAGACCAATATCTCCCATAACATAAATGCAAAAATGTCCCAAAAAGTACACCGAAATATATAAACATAGATAATGTATCAGTGAAATTTACCTCAAAAATGCCAAACAGTTACTACACTGCAATACTATAAAAACTATAGTTTTTATGCTGCATTTCAGGTCAATGTAATCTCCTATCATTAGTCTGAAGAACTAAAATCACACACTACATCAATGCCAAAAATTTTAACAAAATTCAAAATCCATTTGTTAATTTAATAAAAGTAATCTATAAAAAGCCTATCACTAACATTATACTCAAGAGAGACTGAATGTCTTCCCTCTAAGATCAGGAAAAAGACAAAGATGCCCACTACCAGTAGCTTTACACAAGATTGCACTGGAAGGACCAGCCAGTGCAAAAAGGTAAGAATAAAAACACAAAGATACAGAGTAAATTTACACAGAAAATTTAAAATCAAAAAAGTTCCTTGAACTAATAAGTGTTTTTAGCAAGGGCAGAATCTAAGGCCAATATACAAATCTATGCCTACAAACATACAATGATGAATTGGAATTTTAAATCACAGAAACAATATTACAGCACCAAAACAAAATTAAAAACAAAAATTAAAAAAGCCTCGTTATCTGTGTTCTAAAAACTAAAAGACATTGATGAAAGAAATCAAAGAAACAGTAAATAAATCAGTAGGGATATTTTGTGTATGGACTGGAAGACTGTACATTGTTAAGATGTCAATTCTCCTAAGTTCTGCAGATTCAATGCCACTCCAGTTTAAATGCCAACATGTTTCCTTTGTAAAGATTATGAACCTCATTTAAAAATTTATACACAAGATGAAAACTGGAGAAGTACTTGACTTCAAAACTTAATAAGCTAGAGTAATCAAGTTAATGTGGTATTGGCATAAGGAAAGACATGTAGATGAATGAAAAGGAATATAAACTACAAAAATAGACCCCCAAATGTACAGCCATCTGTTTTCTAAGAAAGGTGGAAATGCTGTTCAGTGGAGAAGTAACAGTCTTTTCAAAAAGTGATGCTGGAATAACTGGACTCCCTGTTCCAAAAACATTTAACTTGACACATAACTCATACTTTCTATAGAATTTAACACAAAATGGATTATCAACTAAGTGTAAAAACTGAAGCTGTAAAATTTCTAGAAGAAAATAGGATTCCTAAATCTGTTACTTTGAGTTTCAAGGTTTCTAGATAGAACAACAAAAGCAGGTTCTGTAAAAGAAAACAAGTAAGTTGGACTTTATCAAAATTAATATTCAGTTTTAGTGAGCCTCCTCTAAAGTTATACTAGCGGGAGTGAGGTGCAGCATCACTGCCTGCTACGTGGGGAAGGAAGTCCAGTTCCCCACTGATCTGACGCCCTGGGGGTGGAAGAGGAGGCTTCTACTTTTTTTTTTTTTTTCCTTCCTTTTGAGACAGTTTCTCTCGTCGCCCAGGCTGGAATGGAGTGGCGCAATCTTGGCTCACTGCAACCTCTGCCTCCCGAGTTCAAGCGATTCTCCTGCCTCAGCCTCCTGAGTAGCTGGGATTACAGGCACCTGCCACCACGCCTGGCTAATTTTTGTACTTTTAGTAGAGACGGGGTTTTGCAACGTTGGTCAGGCTGGTCTCGAACTCCTGACCTCAGGTGATCCACCCGCCTCGGCCTCCCAAAATGCTAGGATTACAGGTGTGAGCCACCGTGCCTAGCTGAGGCTTCTACATTAACCCTGGGCATGGGTGAAAGATCAGGAGCCCCACAAGGACTCTGATAACACTAACCACCTTGTATTTTGTCAGGTGCCAAGACCCCTAGTGCATCTTCATTCTTCTTTCCACCCTTCAGTAGTGTGATCTCAGCTCACCATAACCTCCACCTCCCAGATTCAAGCAATTCTCGTGCCTCAGTCTCCCAAGCAGCTGGGATTACAGGCACGAGCCACCATGATTGGCTAATTTTTTTGTATTTTTAGTAGAGACAGGGTTTTGCCATGTTGGCTAGGCTCGTTAAACTCCTGGCCTCAAGTGGTCTGCCTGCCTCGGCCTCCCAAGGTTCTGAGATTACAAGTGTGAGCCACTGTGCCTGGCTAGATATTGCATTCTTTACAAACTGAAGGTTTGTGGCAAACCTGAGTTGGGCAAGTCTGTTGGTGCCATTTTTCCAACAGCAAGTGCTCACTTTGTGTTTGACTCAGCAGTTTTTAGCAAACAAATATTTTAATTAAGGCATGCATACTGTTTTTTAGACATGTTATTGCACATCTAAAAGACTAAAGTATAGTGTAAACATAAAACTTTTATAAGCCCTAGGAAAACAAACATTGTGTGTAACTTGCTTTATTGTGAAATTTGCTTCATTGTAGTGGTCTGGAACAGAAACTGCAATATCTCTGAGGCATGCTTCTATATACAGATATTTAGCTGCACTTAGTGGGTAGAGTAGAAAGGAATACATTTACTCCATCCTTCCCCTGGGTAATGCATTCTGTATTTTATTAAATCCTTCCCTAAGAAGAGTCATTAACCTATTCTATATGATCTTCTAGAATATTTCTACTTTTGTTTTGATAATTAGGTCTTAAGCCAACTGAATTCGACTTTTTGTTTTGTTTTGATCTATATGGATACCTCAAGATCCTTTCCTCATTGTTCTCCAGTGTCATCTATCTAAGATGTCTATCAAGTATATGTTTTTTCTTTTCTCTTTTTTTTTTTTTTTTTTTTGAGATGGGGTCTTGCTCTGTCGCCCAGGCTGGAGTGCAGTGGTGCAATCTCGGCTCAATGCAAGCTCTGCCTCCTGGGTTCACGCCATTCTCCTGCCTCAGCTTCCCAAGTAGCTGGGACTACAGGCACCTGCCATCACGCCTGGCTGATTTTTTTGTATTTTCAGTAGAGACGGGTCTCCATCTCCTGACCTTGTGATCCACCCACCTTGGCCTCCCAAAGTGCTGGGATTACAGGCATGAGCCACCACGCCTGGCCTCATGTTTTTTTCTTTAACTTTCTACTCTGTTTCACTAATTTACTAAATCATCCCACCCCCCAGCTCCATGCTACTTAGCTACACAGCACTTTACATAAAGCCTCAATATCTGGTAGAGCAGCAAATCCTCCTGTATCACTCGTTTTTATGAATGGGATTGTGTTTGGTATAGCGTTACCTCTTTACAGATGTATCCTGACTTGAATTTATTATATAGGTGTTTCCTCTCTTTTTTCTTTGATAGAGTTAGCTGAAGTTTAATTCATTTTATTTTTCTTGTAAGAAACATTCCATTTCTGTTTTCCATTTTATTTTTAATTTTACTTTTAAATTCTTCTGTTTTCACTATTGTATTTTTGATGCTGTTCTTGCTTAATTAATGAGACTACGAACTTCCTTCTGTCCACTACTTTAGCTATACCTGATGGTTTCTAACTTGCAGTTACAATTATTTCATTACAGAAATCAAATCCAAAATTGCATTACACTTTTTTGTATATTGTTTAAAAGAGATACTAAAATTTTTTCAAGTGGATTTTTTTCATTTTA
Source organism: Homo sapiens (assembly GCF_000001405.40). Classification (NCBI taxonomy): domain Eukaryota; kingdom Metazoa; phylum Chordata; class Mammalia; order Primates; family Hominidae; genus Homo; species Homo sapiens. Next base: position 39,453,924 of record NC_000009.12, read on the forward strand.
TTATTAATTTCTAGATTTATCAAACTAGGTTCAGAGAATACTGTTTGTGTTTATTCTAATTTGTTAGATTTATTGAGGTTTTCTCTTTAGACTAATAGTATACTCTATTTTATCATTATTCAATTAAAACATGAAAGTTTTGTTTTTTGCATTAGCATACATATACACAAATGTATGGTTCACTTTAATACAAATGTAATTTATAGCCTCTCTAGGCATATTTATTTAATGTCCACTGTACCTACTGTTTAATCAGATGAGACATTATGATGTCCTAATTCTAATGAGTTTTAAGTTCTTAGAACTCCATTATTTTATGTTTTAGAAACATTGATATTATATTATTTGGTGCACTCATTCAAATCCTTAAAGGTTTTCATTTCCCTGTGCTCTTGAATGAGAGCTTTTCCTACTTTAATGAATTTCTTGCCTGAATTCAAATCTGAATGATATAGAACATGAAACCTACATTATTTTATCTTTATTGACTCAACAACTTTACTGATTTTTTTTTTTTTTTAATTTTTTGGGACTGAGTCTCGCTCTTTTGCCCAGGCCGGAGTGCAGTGGTGCTATCTCGGCTCACTGCAAGCTCTGCCTCCTGGGTTCACACCATTCTCCTGCCTCAGCCTCCCAAGTAGCTGAGACTACAGGCGCCTGGCTAATTTTCTGTATTTTTAGTAGAGACAGGGTTTCACCGTGTTAGCCAGGATGGTCTCCATCTCCTGACCTCGTGATCCGTCTGCCTTGGCCTCCCAAAGTGCTGGGATTACAGGCATGAGCCACCACGCCTGGCCCAACTTTACTGATCTTTTATAATGATCTTTCTATGTTACTTATTTAGGGATATCCTTTTTAGACAATCAATATGATCCAATAATTTACATTTAGTGACTCAGCAACATACTTGATCTAAATTATGTCACTCTTTATGTGATGCTATTTGTTGGTATGGCTTCAAACAAAAACCTTAATTGTGCTTCACTTCTAATAAGATGATTTTACTTTTTTATTCTAAAAATGACATTGAAAACTATAACTTTTTAAGATTTCTGGAATCATTTATTTGTACAAAGCCTAATAGGCATATAAAAAGATGCCTGATATCATTAGTGACCAGGGAAATTGTTATAGACTTGTTTGTGTCCTTCCCAAATTCTTATCTTGAAGCCCTAACCCCCAGTGTAACTGTATTTGCAGACAAGGCCTTCAAGGAGGCAAAAAGGGTAAAAATGAGGTCACAGGAAAGGACCCTAATCCAGTAGTACTGATATCTTTATAAGAAGCGGAAGAAACACCAGAGTATTCTCTCTCTCCCACTGCATGTGCACAGAGGAAAGGCCACATGAACACACAGCAAGAAAGTGGCTGTCTTCAAGCCAGGAAGAGACGCTTCACCAGAAACCAACTTATTAGTACTTTCATTTTGGACTCCCAGCCTCCAGAATCATGAGAATTTCTGTTGTTTAAACTACCCAGCCTATGGTATTTTATTATGATAGCCCTAGCTGACTAATACAGAAATGTACATCAAAACCACAGTGAGATATCAGTTCACATCCACTGGGGTGGCTAGAATCAAAAAGTCAAACAATAACAAGCATTGGTGAGGATGTGGAGAAATCAGAACCCCCATATGCTGTTGTTAGGAACAGAAAAATGCTGCATTTAGAAAAACCGTCTGGTGGTTCCTCAAACAGATAAAGACACAGATACCATATGACCCAGCAGTTTCACTCCTAGGAATATACACAAGAGAAATAAAACCAATTGTCCATGCAGAAACCTGTAAATAAATGTTTATATTAGCATTATTTGTAGGTGGAATCCCAAATATCTACTGACTGATAAATGGACAAACAGGTGGTACATCCATACAACGGGACATTATTTGGCCATAAAAAGAATGAAACATGTATTTTATATCAGTTGTAAACATTATGCTAGGCAAAATAAACCAATCACAAAAGACCACATATATGATCCAATTTATACAAAATGTCTAAAATAGGCATATTTATAGACACAGAAGTAGACTGTGGTTACCTAGGGCTGCAGAGGGCAGGGGGGATGGGACAGTGATAACTAAAGGGTACACGTATGTTTGAGGTGATGAAAATTAACTGTGGTGATGTCTGCATATACAGTCATCCCCTGGTATCCATGGGGAATTGGTTCCAGGATTCTCTTAAATACCAAAATCCACAAATGCCCAAGTCCTTGATACAAAATGGCATAGTATTTGCATATAACCTATGCACATCCTCTTGCATACTTTAAATCATCACCATATTAATTATGCTACCTAATACAATGTAAATGCCATGTACATAGTTGTTATACTATATTGTTCAGGGAATAGTGACAGGAAAAAAATGTCTATACATGGTGAATGAAAGTGCAATATTTCTTCCCTGAATAGTTTTGATCTGTGGTTGCTTGAAGTCACTGACCTGTACACTTTAAAGGAGTGAATTGTAGGCATGTGAATTATATCTCAATAAAGCTGTTCCAAAAAAACTTTCAAAGGTGCTCTCCCTCTAAAGACTAAGTACCCCCAGGTACTTCTGTTAATGCCCACTCACCTGGGTACCTCTGGTTCAGGAATTCATCTTCTAAAGACCATGGCTCTTCTCCTTTCTCCAACTTGGAGATCACCTTGGGTTTAGTAATGCAATATCCTGTAAACAAAATAATTGACATGGACCAGATTCACAGGCTTTTGGATTTCCAAAGGGAAAAAAAAGATATGGCAGCAAAGCATTAACTGAGGGTGTTCATTTGAAATTTTTAATGGGAAAGTAATGACATGTTGCTTTTGTTTCTGTAAAGGTTTCAACTACTTCAGACCTTTTAATCCAAAGCCCTTTAATCTCTATAAAGGGTCCATGTGTTTTGATAGTTTTTAAAAAGGGACATGTATTCTCGAGAGAGCCCCATGGTAAGCTATGCTCACCCACTGAGACGAGGTGGCTGTAGTTCTCCAGCATCACATCTCTGTACAGCGTCCTCTCGACAGGGCCCAGGTGCTGCCACTCCTCCCGGGTGAATTCTACAGTCACGTCCTGGAATGACACTGATGCCTGTAACAACATTTATCACAACAAATATAACAACGGTTTGTTCAAGGGTTCAGAATTGGGTGACACAGAAAATATCTTTGAGAGCTACTACTAAAATGAATGGTTATAAAGGCCTATTTTAGACCCAAAATTGTCTTAACATATGTAACTCAAAACATTTTTTAACTTGCCATAATTTCTCTATGTATTTATGAATTCTAGGTTTTTGTAAGACAAAAAAAAATCAATGTAAAACAACTTCCTTCCAACCACCTCCTTCCTTCTTCCACATCTCCGCAAATTATCCGGGGTAGTCTCTAGGACATTCACACCCTCCCTGGACATCATCACTGTAAATTCTGGGGGCTAAGGAAGAGATATATGTGAAGTCTGGAGATACCCTGACCAAACTTTATATAGGGTAGAGCAGGTGAAGAGCAGAGAACAGCTACAATAGTTGTAACCAAAGAGACTGGCACAAAAGAACACTTTCTACACTGAGGTCACAGCAATGGATGTAAGAATAGGGATATAATCACAGAAGAGAAGCAACACCCATTTAATACAATACTTTATTGTACAGCTACTCAATCTAGCTGTATGAGAAGCTCCTTTTAAAAAAATTTTGTTTTTAATTGACAGAAAGACAAATATTTCAAATTATAGTCACTTATATGTGGAACCTAAAAAGTTCAAACTCATAGATGTAGACAGTAGAATGGTGGTTACCAGAGGCTGGGGGTGAGGGGTGAGGAATGGGGAAGCATTGGTCCAAGGGCACAGAGTTTCAGTTACATAAGAGGAATAGTTTTTGAGCTATTGCACAGGATGATGACTAGAGTGAAAAATAAAGTAATGTATATTTCAAAATAAGCAGCTGCTTGGTGGTGCCAAAACTGGTATCTGGGAAAGAAGAAAACGTGTTAGAAGATTCAGTGAGAGTTCTGTTCATGTTGATACGTAGCTAGAACTGTTCGTTCAACCAGGATACATATGATTTTAGAACACAGAAGGTAAGATGGGGATGAAGATAAGCATTTAGGATTTACTAGCAATTTAGGTGGTGAGTAAAATTAGCAGAGACAGACAGCTCCTTGAGCACACAGGGATTGAAGAAAGAAAAGAACCAAAAACAACACCTGAGGAACCACAAAGCAGAAAAAGTACAGGCCACAAAGCCAGAGATGTTTTCCAAAAAATAATAACAGAATCAGGAGGGGGCAGAGTCTTAGAAATTGAGAAAAGAGAAAGTTTCCACAACAAGAAGACTTCAAATTCAAATTAGCAAGTGATGACGGTGAAGATACTGAAGATCCAAGAAAATTCCTTCTTCCATAAAAGCAACGAGAAACCGGCAAAAACTGCAGAATCAACTTTTTCAGAACTCTAGAAGCTACCAAAGGCTTACAGCAATCTGCGGAACATTGATATGAGAAAAACAGCTGCATCACAGTAAGAACAATGATCTTGTGTCATTTCAACCTGCCCTATATCCATCCCTCTCACTCCCACTCGGCATTAGCTTTGAGAAACATCTGAAACAACAGGAGAATCCAGCGGCCTGGTATCCACTGGATGAGGCAGACTGGGTCACAGGTTGGCCAAAGCCTCACTCCCAGAAAACCCTCATTATCTGACCTAATCTGTGGTTCCCTGGAAGAGCTGACTTGAAAGGCTGATTGAATTAAGTCAGAGTTCCCCAGTGTGAAAAGCCTTATTCTTGAAGGCATTTGCCAAAAACATTCAAAGGCAATTGTTTAACTCAGCAGCTAACTGAGGCGGTGGATAACACCTGACATAAATAACAGCCTAATTGAAAAGCTTTTTAGAAAGGAAAAACTGGAGAATGGGATGTTCATAAAGCTTTTGAAAAGCTCCTATAGATTCTAGAGACTCTAGGTCACCTACATGCATAGAGCTGAGCATATGCCCAGGGCTGTGATTATGCTCTGGAAAGATGTGAGAAGGCCCTAAACTGTCACCCTGGGTGACCCTAGGGTTTGGGGTGAACTGGAAGTGAAGGAAGTGAAGGTTAACATGGGGTTATAAATTGCCTGGATGTCTGTTGAAGGAATGCCCCAGCACTCATGAGGCTCTTTGGCAAAGACTGAGAGCCTTACTTAAGGTTTCAGGCATTTAAGAAAATTTCTGCAGACTTCTGCGGCCACACATGACAATAAACACAGGCTCTACTGAATCAATTAAAAAGTCACTAGACAAATTTCAACAACAACTCCTGCAAATCAAGAAAGTTTTCTAGAGTTGCCACCGTATTTAAAATGTATAGTTTTCAACAAAAAATGCAAAACAAGAAAAGAAACAACAAGTAAGACCCATATGCAGGAAAAAAGTACAATCAATAGAAACTACTCACGAGGAAGCAGGCATTGGACTTAAACAGACGATGACTTTAAATCAACTATGTTACATATGGTCAAAGACTTAGAGGAAATGATATGTAAGGACCAAAGGAAAGTATTAGAATAATATCTCACCAGATAAAGGATATAAATAGACAGAAACTATAAAAAGGGACCAAATAGAAACTCTAAAGTTGGAAAGTACAAAACTAAAACAAATATTTTACCAAAAACACCTGTTCAACAGCAGGTCTGAACGGGTAGAATGAAGCAACTGGACAACATGCCCACTGAGATTATGCAGTGAGAAACAGAAGGAAAAATAACAAGAAATGAACAGTTGGACAGCATCAAGCTTATCAACATATGCCAAATAGACTAACAGAATGGAGACAGAAAGGGTCTAAAACAATATCAGAAGTAGTAATGGCCAAAAAACCCCACAAATCTGAAATAAATGATAAATCTACATGCCCAAAATGCTTCACAAACTTTAAGTAGGATAAACTTGGAGAAAGAAATCCACACTCGCTGGGAGCAGTGGCTCACACCTGTAATCTCAACACTTTAGGAGGTAGGCAGATCACTTGAGGCCAAGAGTTCAAGACCAGCCTGGCCAACATGGTAAAACCCCATCTCTACTAAAAATACTAAAATTAACCAGACATGGTGGTGAATGTCTGGAATCCCAGCTACTTAGGAGGCTGAGGCACAAGGATTGCTTGAACCCAGAAGGTGGAGGTTACAATGAGCCGAGATCATGCCACTGCACTCCAGCCTGGGTGACAGAGCGAGAGACTGTCTCTCAAAAAAAAAAAAAAAAAAAAAAGAAAGAAAGAAAAGAAAAAGAGAAAAGAAAAAAGAAAAGAGAAATCCACACCTGGACATGAGAATCAGAGTGTTAAAAAGACAGACAATCGGAAAGCTGTAACAGAGAAACAAGTCATCGTATTACAGGCTGATTTATAATGAGAAACTATGGAGGACAGAGGGCAATGGGATGACATATTCAAAGTGCTGAAACAAAGACTGTCAACCAATAACCTCTATATCCAGGAAAAATAGAGAAACTGGAATTTTCCCAGGTAAACAAAACCTGAGAGAATTCATCACAGGCAAGACTGCCTATAAGAAATAATAAAGGGAGTGGTTCAGCAAAACTATGGAGATAGAGGAGTAGGTTAGTGGTTGTTTGGGGCTCAGAGGGAATCAAATGGTAGTTACAGTGTACACAGCTTCTTTCTAAGGGAATAAAAATGTTCTAAAATTGACTGCAGTGATATTAGCACATTATCTGAGAATGTACTAAAAAAAATCACTGAATTCTACACTTTAAATGGGTACATGGTAAGATACATGAATTGAATCTCAAAAAAAAGCAGTTTTAAAAAAAGAAAAAAACAAGGGAAGACAAAATCATTTGGAGACAACAGAGAAGACTAAAGAGCCAAGGACAGAAACTGAGGCTGAGCCGAGTGACAGGACAAGGAAGGTGGCTCCATGAAGACATCAGCCGGGGAAGGACCAGTGAGGGGCAAGTATCACTAACGGAAATGTTCCAGGACAGAGTGAGACATTGAGGCAAGTGCTGCGGAAAAGCCAAGCAAGTTAAGGAAAAGACCACGTCCACTGGATTTGATTATACTATGGGTAGGGACACTGGAGGTCCCAGGCAAGTGGCAAGAAAAAATCAAGGCATCCCATGGAGAGTTGACGTTAAATGCTAAGTGTGGAAATATCTGAAAGAGAACAATTTTGGACCATCTGCTGAGCAACCTGAATATCATGGGTACTCAAAATATTTATGGAGAGTGATTTTAAAGACATTCAGTTGATTCATCAGAAAAATGTTAAATTCAACCCTTGCACTGGAGTACTTGAAAAATAGTACTGAACGTGTTCAAATTTAGCATTACAATTTCTACTTCTATTGAAGAAGTAATATTCTGTTATTTGGCAATTTATTAACTAAGTCACCTACTTGAAGAACAATAAATACATTTTGTTATCTTTATGTTTATATTCCATGATAAATCAGTTGGCTTTATCTTTCTCATCAATGTAAACCTTTAAGTATTGTCTGTCTGACACTCCACCATGACTGTCAATAACCTCAGAAATAAATCTGAAGCTTAATTTGGTAAATTTGTAACATCGGAGGATCTGCATCTATCCACATGCCACTTTGCTCTGCTATTCATCTGCATTTCTACATCTTCTAGGAATGTGTCTGATCCATCTCTATTTCTACTTTTCCATGTTAATGTACGGACACATAAACCCTTACAAAACCTATTGTAAAATAAACTGGTTTTTAAAAACCTAACTCACCTGAGACATGTTCATTTTCTGCTGCTCCTGGAAGAGTGTAGAGGACTGTGGAGGTTCAGCTGGGGAGGAGGAAAGAGCAGTGGGGTCATGAGAGACCTGGTCTGCCTCTCAGTTCTTACAGAGATGGTCCCTGACATGAGATGGTTCGACTTGATAATGGTTTTACTGCGACATAACCCCACTGTAATCAAGGAGCATGTAATCCTATTCATGTGCCTAAAAAAAAAATCATCGCACTCAGCTGGAGAAAAGGATTCCCAATGCAGAATGTCCCTTTGACTCTTGAAAAGGGACAAGAAAGACCACTCAAAGATAGCCACACCTGAATATGTGCATCTCTGATACGATTATGTGCGCTTAAACTTACATTTTCACTGAGTAAAGTAATACTGTTTTTTGTTGATTTACTAATAATTATGTTGATTTATTAACAATTATGTTCCCTTTTGACTAAGAAAAAAGTAAAAATAAAACAAAGGATTAAGCAAGTTCAGGTACACAGAGATGAAGCTGTTTACCTTCATTAAAGCTAATGTCAAAGAACTATTCAGCCGGGTGTGGTGGATCATGCCTGTAATCCCAGCAGTTTGGGAGGCCGAGGGGGGTGAACTGCTGGAGGCCAAGAGTTCAAGACCAGCCTGGTCAACATGGCGAAATCCTGTCTCTACTAAAAATAGAAAAAAATATAAAATAAATAAATTTTAAAATAATTTTTTTAAAAAAGAACTACTCAGGCTGACTTAATCAAGTTCTTACTGCCTTTACACCCAGAATTAGCACTTCCACGGAAAAAATAAAGATAGGATGTTTTATGCAAGGAATTTCAGGCCCAATATTTTTGGGCTTCCAATATAGGAAATTCTTCCTCTACTACCCGGAAAGAGGCAGCATTAGTATCACTCTAAATGCCACATGTGGTGATGAACACGGTGTGAGAGGGACTCACAATGTGGAAGAAGTGAAGGCAGAAAGGAAACTAGGCTGCCGTTTGGGATCTGGACAGCTGATTACATCTTCCCTGGATATCATGACCTAACCAGCCCTCCAGTAAAGTGTCTTTTTCCACCCAGCTTGATAGTCACTCATCCCTCTCAACCCCTGGGAATTGCCTTCTGCAAGTTAGTCCACAGCAAAGTCACACGGTCTGTGATGGCTTCTGGATGTGGCAACATCACGAAATCTGATGCATATATAAGGAGTCAACAACTGCCTCTGGGGAAGCAATCAGGACCTGCTCCTTTCTAGAATCTTCTGCCTCTGCTCTGACGCTCTAGAAGAGGTCTCCGTCATATGGGCTGTTCTTCTATGGCAGTAGGCCCTAGGACTCCCTCTTGACTGCCTCATAGGAGCTGCTTTGCTCCAGAGGGGCTGGGACTTAGGCCTGAGAAACAAACTCAATTGAAACCTTCACCTAATACCCTAAACCTGACTCTTGAGATTCACTAGAAATGTGCTATCCAGCACTGCAGCCATCAGCCACATAGAACCATTGAACACCTGAAGTTTGGCCAGTGCTACAAGTCGAATATTTAGGAAGTAAAATAAAGCAGTAAAACTGACTTTGTCTGCCTCTTCTTTTTACTGTAGCTACTGAAAAATTCTAAACTTTTTTTTCTTTTTTGAGACAGAGTCTCACTCTGTCACTCAGGCTGGAGTGCAGTGGTGCAATCTCGGCTCACTGCAGCCTCCGCCTCGGGTTCGAGCGATTCTCCTGCCTCAGCCTCCCAAGTAGCTGGGATTACAGGAGTGCACCACCACGCCCGGCTAATTTTTTTATTTTTGTAGAGATGGGCTTTTGCCATGATGGCCAGGCTGGTCTCGAACTCCTGGCCTCAAGTGATCCACTGGCCTAGGCCTCCCAAAGTGCTGGGATTACAGGCATGAGCCACCGCGCCTGGCCAAAAATTCTGATTTATATTTGTGTTTTGCCTTATCTTTCTATTGGACAGCACAGCACCAGAATATCAATCTGTGCCTTTGAGGAGACAGCGGGAACAGTACAAGAGGATTCAGGAGCCTCAGCCTGAATCAGAGACCCGACAAATCGCAGAATGTATCTACCACTTGGTGAGATTCTGTCCACATTTACTTCACAATCATCTACACAGATCTGGTGACAGGCCACTCTGCATAAGCGCTCTGAAGGCTTTAGGCAGGTACTGGCAAGTCTGGGTTTCAGGCAGACAGCATGTTAGAACGAGCAGGACAGGGAGTCCTGCATTTGCATCTCTCAGCATTTGCATCTCACCTCTCTCACCTACTAGTGTGTGCCCTGGGGTACCCATCCCCATGAACTTTCGTCCATTTTTTTAAAATGGCACGTTTATACCAAAGAGGTCGTTGTGAGGGTCAGGTGAAATACCAAACGATGAGAATAAGTGTCTCATAATTGTGAGAGCAGCTTACATTTCACATAGTGACTATTACAGACACTTAACAAAATGCTTTACAGGTGACAACTTATTTAATTTTCAGAATAGGAACACGAGTTGCTAGTAACCTCCTCCTGTTCGCCGTCAACCTCATCCACGCACATTCCTCTTCCCGGCCCGCAACCCCGCGGGGCCCGGCAGCCCCTACACCTGCGGACAGGACTCGGCCTGGGCCCGCGCACTGGGCCGGGGAGGAGAGGGGAGGGCCATCCTGGGGACTCCTGAGACTGCCTGCTGCTGTCCTCCGCACACAAGCCCGCCCGTCCCCAGGTTCCTGGGCCGCGCGGAGCCCTGTCACCGACGCTCTCACCCCAGGTGCGCAGCCTGGGCTCCCGCGCAGACCTAAAGACTCGGACACCGTGTCCCTTTCAGGCCCGGGAGGGCAGACGGCAGGAGGTGGGGCTGGGTTTACACATGCGCAGAGCGAGCCCCGAAGCCCCATTCCCAAAGTGCTGCGCGGTAGGCGCGTTAACATTGAAAACTACAGTTCCCGTAAGCCCGTGCGTCCGAAGGAAGTACTATAATTTTTTCTGCTGCTTTGACCGGCTGGGAGGGACCTTCGGAGCCCAGGGATTTCCCAAATTCCCGGAGGTTGTCAGCATGACCACAAACTGCGAAGCGTGGTTCTTGATGCGATCCTGGTTGGAGAAAAAAGCACCTGAAACAGACATTAACAATTGGGGAAACATGACTATCGACAGGACATTAGAAATATTAAAGAAAATTACCGTTACTTTGAGAATAATAGCTAGACGATGTAGGACATTGTTCTTATATTTAAAAGATATGTACAGAAACATTTACAATTGTATGCTTGTAGTTTAATTGAAATACTTTAAAAATTTCTCAAAACAATGAAAGCAGATATAGTAATAAGTGAAGAATTGTTAAATCTGTATAATACGTGCTTATGATGCTCATTTTACTATTTTCTACCATTCTGAGGGTCTGATTTTTTTTTTTTTTCATACTCAGTAAAAGACGTGTGGGGCAGTGCAGTGCAGGGGGAGTGGAGAGGCTTTACTATCCCTTCGGAAGTATGCCGTTAAATTCAAAGTTGCCAAGGGAAGTAAAAGTACATAAAAATAGCTTTATGAATAAGGTTGTGAAATCGAACAAATACTAGAAAACATAAACGAGTAACATCTGTGATCAGCAGGGTTTATGGGGGTTGGAGGAGGAAGCTAGCTGTTCAAAATACATATGTGATGCGTGAAAACACATGCAACCCAAAATATGAAAATGATTATTACACCAACCTTGCATTTTCATGAGGAAACCTTTTTTGAAACGTGTATACCCATCTGACTGTTTAAAGAATTAGGAATAGATAGGTACTATAACTTTTTTTTAATTTTTAATTGATAGACTTTTCTTATTTTATTTTATTTTATTTTATTTTTTTGAGATGGGTTTTGCTCTGCCGCCCAGGCTGGAGTGCAGTGGCGCTGTCTCGGCCCACTGCAACCTCCGTCTCCGGGCTCAAGCTACTCTCCCACTTCAGCCTCCTGAGTAGCTGAGACTGCAGGTGTGGGCCACCATGCCTGGCTAATTTTTTTTTTTCTTTCGAGACGGATTTTCACTCTTGTTGCCTAGGCTGCAGTGCAATTCTCGGCTCACCACAACCTCCGCCCCCTGGGTTCAAACGATTCCCTGCCTCAGCCTCCCAAGTAGCTGGGATTACAGGCATGTGCCACCACGCCCAGATAATTTTTTGCATTTTTAGTAGAGACAGGGTTTCACCATGTTGGCCAAGCTGGTCTCAAACTCCTGAACTTAGGTAATCCACCTTGCCTCGGCCTCCCAAAGTGCTGGGATTACAGGCGTGGGCCACTGTGCCTGGCCTTTTGTATTTTTTTTTTGTAGAGATGGGGTTTCACTATGTTGCCCAGGCTGGTCTCAAACTACTGGGGTCAAGCGATCTGTCCACCTCAGCCTCCCAAAGTGCTGGGATATTAATAGATGTACAGAGCAGTTTTAGGTATACAGAAATATTGAGCAGAAAGCACAGAGTTCCCATATACCTCCGCTCATCAACCCACACACAGTTTCCCCTATTATTAATATATTGCATTAGTTTAGTACATTTAAAATACATAGTTTATATTAGCTTTCATTCTGTCTGTTCTACAGTTCTGAGTTTTGCCAAATGCATGTCTTTTAGTGCGATTTCCACCAATGCAATGATGTAATATCCACCATTACAGTATCATAAAAAATAGTTTCACTGCCTGATATGGTTTGGATTTGTGTCCCCGCCCAAATCTCATGTCAAATTAAAGGAGGGGCCTGATGGGAGGCGATTGGATCATGGAACAGATTTCCCCCTTGCTGTTCTGGTGATAGTGGATTCTCACAAGATCTGATGGTTTAAAAGTGTGTGGCACTTCCCCCTTCGTTCTCTCTTTTGCTTTGCCATGGTAAAGATGTGATTGCTTCCCCTTCACTTTCTGGCATGATTGTTAGTTTCCTGAGGCCTCCCAGTCATGCTTCCTGGTAAGCCTACAGAACTATGAGTCAATTAAACCTCTTTTCATCATAAATTACCCCATCTCAGGTAGCTGTTTATAGCAGTGTGAGAATGGATTAATACAGAATTTGGAACCAGGAGTGGGGTACTGCTATAAAGATACCTGAAAATGTGGAAGCAACTTTGGAGCATAACTTTTTTTATTTCACATTGTGCCAGCAACATTTGTAGAAAAGGCTATCTTTTCTCCACTGTATTGCCTTTGTTCTTTTGTCAAAGATCAGTTGCTGATACTTGTGTAGGTCTTTTTCTGGGTTCTCTATTTTGTTCCATTGATCTATTAATACTTGTCAGTTATTTCACCAACATGACACTGCCTTGATCACTGTAGCTTTATAGTAATTTTTGAAGCCAGGTGGTATTAGTCTTCTGACTTTTTCTTCAATATTGAGTTGACTATCTGGGTCTTTTGCATTTCCATATAAACTTTAGAATCATTTTGTTGATGTCTACAAAATAACTTGCTGATATTTTATTGAGATTGTGTTGAATCTATTGATCAAGTTGGTAGGAACTAACATCTTAACAATATTGAATCTTCCTATCCATTAACATGGAATATCTCTCCATTTATTTAGTTATTTCTTTCTTTCATCTGAGTTTTGTACTTTTCCTCATATAGATCTTGCATGCATATTGTTAGATTTATACCTAAGTATTTCATTGTTTTAATGATAATATAAATTGTGTGTTTTAAATTTCAAATTCCAATTTTCATTGTTGGCTTATAGGAATGTAATTGACTTTTGTATAATAAGCTTGTATGCTGCAATCTTGCTAATAATCACTTAGTTCCAGATGTTTGTCTGTCAACTCTGGGGTTTCCTACAGGGACAATCATATCATTTGCAAACAAAGATAGTTTTATTTCTTCCTTCCCTATCTGTAGGCTTTTTACTTCATTTTCGTGTTTTGTTCCATTAGCTAGGACTTTCAGTATGATGTTGAATAGGTGTGGTGAGAGGGGACATCCTTCCCTTGATTACTATCTTAGGGGCATTTTCTTTCTCAGCATTTAACTATGATGTCAGCTATGAGTTTTCTGTAAATGTTATTTATCAAGTTGAGGAGCTTCCCTCTATTCCTTGTTTGCTGAGAGTATTTATCATAAATGGGGATTGGATTTTGTCCAATGCATTTTCTGTGTTTATTGATATGATTGTATGATTTTTTTCTTTAACCAGTTGACAAGATGGATTAGATTAATTTATTTTCTTTTTCCTTTTTTTTTTTTTTGAGATGGAGTCTCATTCTGTTAACCAGGCTGGAGTACAGTGGCGTGATCTTGGCTCACTGCAACCTCTGCCTTCCGGGTTCAAGTGATTCGCCTGCCTCAGCCTCCTGAGTAGCTGGGACTACAGATGCACACCACCATGCCCAGCTAATTTTTGTATTTTTAGTAGAGACGGGATTTCACCATGTTGGTCAGGCTGGTCTCAAACTCCTGACCTCGTGATCTGCCTGCCTTGGCCTCCCAAAATGCTGGGATTACAGGTGTGAGCCACCATGCCCAGGCCAGATTAATTGATTTTCTATGTTGAAACAGCTGTGCATACATACCTGAGATAAATCCAAATTATGGTATATAATTCCTTTTAAATATTGTTGAATTCTATTTGCTAATATTTTGTTGAGGGATTTTGCTTCCATATTCATGAGAAACATTGGTCTATTGTTTTCTTATCTTTTAATATGTTTGTCTGATTTTAATCTTAGGCCACTGCTGGCTTATAGAATTAGTTAGAAAGCATCCCCTCTATTTTACTGAAAAGATTGTAGAGAATTTCTGTCTTAATGTTTGGCAGAATTCACCAGTGAAACTATATTGGCTTGGAGCTTTTTATAAAAAGTTATTAATTATTAATTCCATTTCTTTAATAGATATAGGCCTACTGAAGTAGTCTATTTCTTATTTGTGTGAGTTTTGGTATATTTGTCTTCTAAGGAATTGGTCCATTTCATCTATGTTATAGAATTTGTGGGCACAGAGTTGTTCATTGGATGTGAAATTCTAAGTTGACAAATTTTTTTCTGTCAACACTAAAAATTTTTTTTTTTTTTTTTTGAGACAGAATCTTGCTCTGTTGCCCAGGCTGGAGTGCAGTGGCACGATCTTGGCTCACTGCAAGCTCCACCTCCCGGGTTCACACCATTCTCCTGCCTCAGCCTCCCGAGTAGCTGGGACTACAGGCGTCCGCCACCATGCCTGGCTAATTTTTTTTTGTATTTTTAGTAGAGACGGGGTTTCACTGTGTTAGCCAGGATGGTCTCAATCCCCTGACCTCATGATCCACCCACCTTGGCCTCCCAAAGTGCTGGGACTACAGCCGTGATCCACGGCCAACACTAAATATTTCACTCCACTGTCACTCGCCTGCTTTCTGAAGAGAAGTCTGATGTGGTTGCTACTCTGTTTCACAACATGTAACATCCCCTCCCCCGACCCACCTCCTTTCAAGATTTTCTCTTTGTTTTTTATTTTTCTACAGTTTGAATATGATATGTTTAGGTGTATGTTATCTGATATTTATCCTGATAAGTGTTCTCTTAGTTTCCTGGTCTATAGTTTGGTGCCTGTTATTAATTTTCAAAAATTATCAGCCATTATTACTTCAACTATTTCTTATCTTCATTTTTCCTCTCTTTTTGGTATTCCCATTATATGTATGTTACTTTTGTAATTATCTCACCTTCTTGGATATTCTGTTCTGTTTTTAAAAAATCTTTTATCTCTTTGCATTTAACGTTTGGCAGTATATATTGACATATCTTTGAGCTCACAGAGTCTTTCTCAGTTATATGCCATCTACTGATGAGCACATGAAAGCAGTCTTCATTTTTGTTTCATCGTTTTTGAATTGTAACATTTACTTTTGAATCTTTCTTAGAGCTTACATCTCCCTGTTTACATTATCCATCAGTTCTTGCATGGTATTCGCTTTTTCCATTATAGCCCTTAGCATATTAATCAGAGTCATTTTACATTTCAAGTCTGGTAATTCCAAAACCTCTGCCAATTCTGAGTCCAGTTCTGATGCTTGCTTTGTTTCTTCAGATTGTGTTATTTTTGCCTTTTAATGCACTGCAATTTTTATTGGAAGCCGAATACTATGTATCAGATAAAAGGAACTGCAGTAGATAGATCTTTAATGTAAAGTTTAATGTTTATCTGGCTAAGAGTTAAACTGTGTTTCCTGTTTGTGGTAGCTGTGAAGTCAAAAGCAAAAGTTTCCTCTAGTGTCCTTGTTTCTGTCTCCCATCTTGTCTTTGGGTGTTCATAGACTCCAGAAATAGGGTCTGAGCCTGCAGTTCTTTTAACTGTAATTCCAGGCTATCATGCAGGAGCTCTACTGATGCAGTAGTAATGAGTGTGAGGAGGGCAAGCCTTCTATAATCCTCTGATTAGATCCCAGTCTTTTAGTGAACTGAAGTTATGTATTTCTTTTCCTCCGTGTTAAAGTCTGAAGGGGGCTGGGGTTGGGGATTGCCTTCCCCAGGTCACTTAGGTTTTCATAAAAATCCTTTAGGCTGGGTTCTGGTAAAGTAGTTCCCCTGAGTGTGGGCCTTGTTAAGGGGAGCAGAGAGCTCTGAGCACGTCTCAAAAATGGTTACTTTTCCCCTCCACCCTGAGAAAAATCATCAAAGGAATTTTCTCTGATCTCCATACTGAGAACCTGGTAGGGATCTTGCAAGTAAAACTCTGCGAAGTGTTGGGGCTGCCTCCAAGACCAGGTTTCTTCTGAGTTCTTAACTCTAAATTTAGTCCACATTGAGCCTCTAGCAATTTACGAATTACAGTTTAAAATGTTGCTACCCGTACTGCTGTGGACATCTCCCTCTGGGAATCTGCTCCTGGTAAGCTGTGATTCTCTGTATCTGCCTGTCTGTTTCTCCAGTTGTCCTGATAACAGTTTGTCCCATGATCTCAATTCTCTACTCGAGCTAAGAAGAGTTGTTAGTTTTCAGTTTGTTCAACCTTATTATTGCAGAAGATAAGAATAATGACTTCCAAACTCATTGCATGTCAGACCAGAAACCAAAGTCTGTTTATTGTGTTTTGAATTGCATTGCTTTATGCTGTAAGAACAGGTCTTTGTGAAGTTCAGTCAGACTTGCTTCCAGGCTTCTACTTTATTCCATGAAGTATCTTATCAAAGAATTTAAGCTAATTGAGTCTGTGACCATCCATAGTAGCACTACTCACCTCTGTTATTATCTTTCTTTTTTCTCATAGTTCTCTCACTACACAAAGTATCCTAAGTATGTTGACTACAACAAAATGGCAACTTCCTGAGGACAGGGAGCTTGTCTTTGTCTCACTGAGCATATATGTGCTCAAATATTTCTTGAGAAAGGAACAAGGACCTAAATCTGCTAGATACTACCAGGCAGTGGATTTCTGGTAATTAACAAGACATTACCTACCTTCCCCTAGCTTAGCATCTAGAGGTGGAGATGATAAGGACTATGATGAGAGACAACAGAGCAGAAGACAAGGACAGGAATTCTCATAGTTGGCAGGCGCTTCTCTGAAGAGGTAACACTGACACTCACGCTCAAAAGGTGGGAGGGAAGAGATCATGTGCAGAATAGAATGGAGGGTAAGCCCCCACTCAGGAAAACCAGCGCTCACTATGGGAAAGATTTTATCCCATTTGAGGAAGACATAAAAGTCAAGTGCAGACACTTGAAGCCATTAAGAATGTTCCTTTGGCTTTACTCTGAGAAGTGCCTACCACAAGCCAGGCTAGCAAACACCTTCTCTTTTGTCTGAGCTAGACTGTCAAGCAAACCTCAGTGATGAAGAAGGCAAAGTGATATGGGTCCTTTCCTTTTTTTAAAGTAATTATTTCTTATTCAAATCAAGAAGTTAATTTGTGAAAATGTCCGTCACTCCCAGGCCAACTAGACCAAGACAAGAGTAATCAGAGCAATGGAGAGTGCGACTGAGAGAGAATAAGAATGACTATCCCTTTACAAACCCACCAGAATGGCTGCTTACGAATCTGGCTGGCTAGAATAACTATTTTCTTTTTCTTTCTATTTTTTTGAGACAGTCTCGCTCTGTTGCCCGGGCTGGAGTGCAGTGGCATGATCTTGGCTCACTGCAAGCTCCACATCCTGGGTTCACACCATTCTCCTGCCTCAGCCTCCCAAGTAGCTGGGACTACAGGCACCCGCCACCGTGCCCGGCTAATTTTTTGTATTTTTAGTAGAGACGGGGTTTCACCGTGTTAGCCAGGATGGTCTCGATCTCCTGACCTCGTGATCCACCTGCCTCGGTCTCCCAAAGTGCTGGGATTACAGGCATGAGCCACCGCGCCGGGCCTAGAATAACTATTTTCTTGTTATTCTGAAGCTACTTTGGGTTCTTTTCTCAGTTCACAAATATTACACACATTTTTCAAATAGCAGAGATTCTTAAATATTCTGAATTTGAAGCCATATCACCCGACGCTCATTCAAACTGCATGAAACTGATTATCATTAAAAAATCATGACTATTATTAAAAGTGATGCAGTACAAACTGTTTTAGGGTAACAGAGTTAAAGAGGAAAAGGCCTTCTTTGTAGGAAAAAATAGAGTTAATAATTTCACAAGGATTAAAAGACTATCACCACCGTGCAACCTGAAATAATGGTTGTAGGCAATATTCATCAGCGGCTGCTAAATCCATTCATGATAGCTTAGTAAGAATTTCTTGAGATAAAATAACATAAAATTTATCATTAACTAAAGTTTATCATTTTAACCAATTTTAAGTGTACAGTTCAGTGGAATTAAGAATATTCACATGGATGTGCAACCATCCCCACCATCCATCTCCAAAATTTTTTCATCTTCCCTAATTGAAAATCTGTACCCATTAAAAAACATAACTTCCTCTTCCTTCCCCCGCCTACCCCCTGACAACCACCTTTCTAATTTCTGTATCTATGGGTGTGATTACTTTAGATACCCCATATAAGTGAAATCATACAATATCTGTCCTTTATGACTGGATTATTTCATTCCCTTAGCATAATGTCTTCAGAGTTCACTCATGTTATAGCAACTATCAGAATTTCATTCTATTTTAAGGCTGAATATGCACCATTGCATGTATATACCATATTTCATTTATCTATTCATCCATTAATGGACACTTGGGTTACTTCCACATGCTAGCTGTTGTGAATAATGCTGTTAGGAACACGAGAATATAAATATCTGTTCAAGTCCCTGCTTTCAATTTCTTTAGATATATTCCCACAAGTGCCATTTCTGGGTCATATGGTAATTCTCTGTTTAATTTTTGAGAAGCTGCTACGCTGTTTCCCACAGCAGCTATAGCATTCCAGCAATATGCAAGCATTCAAATTTTTCTTCATCCTGACCAACACTTGTTTTTTTTTTTAAATAATAACCATTCTAATCAGTGTGAAGTCGTATCTCGCAATTTTGATTTGTATTTCCCTCATGACTGGTGATGTTGGCTATCTTTTCATGTGTCTGTAAGCCATTTGTATATCTTCTTTGGGGAAATGTCTCTATTCATGTCCTTTGCACATCTTCAAGCTAGATTGTTTCTTTTTGTTGTCACATTGTAGCAATTATTTATATATTCTAGATATTAATCCCTTATCAGATATGTGATTAGCAAACATTTTCTCCCAGTCTGTGTATTACCTTTTCACTCTACTGAGACTGTTTTGATGCACAAAAGTTACTAATTTTGATAAATTCCAATGTATCTATTTTTCTTTTGCTGCCTGTACATTTTATGTCAGATCTAGAGAACCATTGCCAAATCCAGTGTTGTGAAGAGTTTCCTCCATTGTGTTCTAAAGTTGCAGAGTTTTAGCACTTAACGTTTAGGTCTCTGATCCATTTTGAGTTAATTTTTGTATATGGTGTAAGGTAAGGGTCAGCTCATTCATTTGCATATAGATATCTACTTTTCCAGCACCATTTTGCTGCTTCTAGGATAGGTAGATTCATTTTAAATTATCAAATTTGGAAAGTTTCAGTCATTTTCTTTCCCTCCTTTTTTTCTCAGTGTGCATACATTAGTATGTCTGATGATGCCTCACAGGTCTCTCAAGCTCTGTTCATTATTGTTTATTCTTTTTTCTTTCTGTTTCTCCAACTGAAGAATTTCAAATGACTTATCTTCAAGATTGTTAATTCTACCTTCTGCCTGCTCAAATGTATTGTTGAAAGCCTCTGGTGACCTTTTCATCTTGCATATTGTACATTTCATTTCCTAAATTTTTATTTTGTTCCTTTTATGTTTCCACTTCCCTGATGATATTTTCTAGTTTTTATACATTGCATTCTGCTTTCCTTTTGTTACTTTTCCATGGTTTCCTTTAAGATCTTTGAGCATCTATAGGACATTTGATTTAAAGTTTTTGTCTATAAAGTTCAATGTCTGTTCTTGCTCAAGGATACTTTCTCTTTTCTCTTTTCCTGTAAATTAGCCATTTTTTTCTTATGTCTTTGCATGACTTAGAATATTTTGTTGAAAACTGGACATTTTAAATGTTATAATGTGGTCACTCTGAAAATACGTTTTTCTCTTTTAAAGTTCTGTTACTGTTGTTCACCATGGTTTGTAGTTGCTTATTTGTATACTGACTTTTATAAACCAGTTTTTTAAAGACTGTATTCTTTGTTTTTCATGGCACCTGCTATGGTATATGTCTTCCCTCAAAATTCCTATGTTGGAATCCTAACCGCCAAGGTAATGGTGTGAAGAGGTGAGGCCTTGGGAAATGATTAGATCTTGAGAGCTGATACTTCATGATTGGGATTAATGTCCTTATAAAAGAAACTTCAGAGAGTTGAGTAGCCCCTTCCATCATGTAGGGACACGGTGAGAAGGCACTGTCTATGAAAGGGCAGGCTGGCACCTTGATCTTGGACTTTCTAACCTCCAGAACTGTAAGAAATAAATTTCTGCTGTTTATTAACTACCCAGTTTATTGTATTTTGTTACAGAAGCCCAAATGGACTAAGATAGCCTCTGAAGTTTTTGTTCCTTTATCTTGTGGTCAGCTAGTGGTTTGACAGAGATTTCCTTAAACACATGTTTCAGTTGCCTCTGTTTTGGCGTAGCATTTGCTCAGTTGCTGTAAACTGTGACTATTTTTCAGAGTTCTGAGAAAGTTGATTCTGACAGATTTTGCTCTGTTTTTGTGTGTGTGTTTCTGTGGAGGATGAGCCCTGATGCTTTCTACCTTACCATTTTCCCTGGCATCACTCAACAGCTCTAAGAGCTTTCAAGTTTTGACAATTCTTACAGGATATCTTTCCAGTGTTTGTTCTCTGATGTCTAATATTGGAGAGCCATCTCTTTTTCTTAAATATTGATAACACAAGGCCAGTGAATTCATACTCAGGTTATGAGGGCCTGCAGTGCATACTTACAGGGCAGTTTTCTTGAAGAAAATATATTTATGCCCAGATCTCATAGTTTCCTAGAAACATACTTTTGCTCTTTACGGAGCAAGTATACTCCCCAAAGTTGTGAATAAAACTGAAATAAATGGTTTTTTTAATTCTTTACTCTTTTCTAAGATGTTATCAAGTTGATGGTCCTCTAAAAATGATAAAAAAATAAGGTCTCTTAATCTTTTCTTATAAAATAAAACTTATATACACAAGCCTTATTACAGATTAGATATTTTGGTTTCTGGCATATTATCCACAGAATAAAGTGATTCCAAGTGTATATTTTCTATATTTTCTTCATTTGGAAAAGAAATATGTTCAGAAAAATTCTCTTTGGGAAACTGGCATTGAATGTACACAGGTATTTTGGCATTTTAAAATGTGATTTTTCAAAACTCAGTGGGAAAGAGAAATAAAGGGAAGAAATAGTGAATAGAGAACAATAGTCTTTAAGATTAATTCTAGGAATGGAAAATCAGATAACATAGTGAACTAAACAAGACATGTGAAGAGTAAGTAGAATAAAAAGGAAAATCAGTGCACAAAAATTGTCAGGACTTTATCAGAGACAGGGTTTAGATTAGAGAGGGATAACAGGGTCCAGATTCTCCAACTGTCAAGTAAAAATTACATTGGTAGGATACTCATTAGTCCATATACTTCCGGTTGGACTTCTCTCTTTACCATTCCACTCATCATGAAAATAAATTTAGGATGTCAAAAGTTACCTATATTTAAAGAACAGACTTATAACCCAAGCTGTAATATCCCTATCACATCACAGACATAAATGCACAAGCAGAAGTATGAAACTGGTGGGAGTAAAAGTCATTTTCCACTTCTCTGGATTGGGTTCATCACTCTATCTTGGCTCCGTTGTCTATTTATGATATCAGTGTTGTTCAACAGTGATCATCCTCACCACCAAATTACAATTTTCCTCTTTCCCATCTGTTCACTTATTTTTGCCAAAACAGTCATTTCCCTGATGCATCTTCAACTCATTTTCCACCTACTTTTCAAGATATTTAGTTTCTATTGATTCAAAGAGCCTTAGACATACTCCTTAGAGTTTTTAGTTTTGATTTCTTACAAAAATTCTTGTGTGTACTCTACTGTTATCATCCTGCTGCTACCCACATTCCAGGCAACAATGTTAGGCCAGTCCTGTAAAACCTAATATGGCCCCGAAATCACTGCTTAAGATACTAGTAGATAAAAGAATTAAGAGACAACATTCTTAAAACAAAAGTTTTACCTCAATTGCATGGACATTTGGTGTTCACACTACCACTCTACAAATCCATAGTGTGGTCTGCTTTAGTCTAGACAAGCTGTTAATCCCTTTTAAATGTTTTGTTTCCAAAAATAATTTTATACTGAAAGCTTGTCATACGTGTACCCTGCATGCCATCACAACACAAAAAAAAATGCTGGTGCCCTGGATGTGATTGTGGCCGTGAGCAATAAAATCCTTTGTCTTTGACCCAGAAGTCTTGTATCTCCTGCCAGAATCCATGAAACTTGGCAAGCTAACATGTTAGCTTGCAGATAGGGTAAAATGTCATGCCCTTTATAATTCTTGACTAGAATCTTACATAATTTCCATAATTATCTATTTAGTTAGAGCTCTGTGGCCTGATGAGAGTCATGAACCACATGTAACTATTTGCCTTTATTATTTAATATAACAACAAATCAGTTCCTCAGTCACTTTAGCCACATTTAATGTGCCCAATAGCTACTTGTGTCAAGTAACTATTGTGTTGAAAATCCAAGTATAGACCATTCCCATTATTTGGAGCAATTTTAACAGGACAATGTTTGTTTAAACATTATTTAGTAATTCCTATTTCATAACCAATGACAAAATCAGTATGTTTATCTTTCTTTTTTTTGAGATGGAGTCTCACTCTGTCGCCCAGGCTGGCGTGCAGTGGCACAATCTCAGCTCACTGCAAGCTCTGCCTCCTGGGTTCATGCCATTCACCTGCCTCAGCCTCCCGAGTAGCTGGGACTACAGGCGCCCGCAACCACGCCTGGCTAATTTTTTGTATTTTTAGTAGAGACGAGGTTTCACCGGGTTAGCCAGGATGGTTTCAATCTCCTGACCTCGTGATCCACCCGCCTCGGCCTCCCAAAGTGCTGGGATTACAGGCATGAGCCACCATGCCCGGCCTCAGTATGTTTATCTTTCAACTCATTCTTCAACCTCCAATTTTAGTTTCCTTTATTTCTAAGTTTTTATATTTGTAATGTTAATTATAATTTTACTAATTAGTTTGTCAGCTTTAAGTAATATTGCCGGTGCCTAGTTACATTCTGTACCTTACTTTCCACCTTACTCTCCCACATTAGATACATCATTTCTAAATTTCCCAAAGTAAAGTTCTGTAAAAGCAGAGTCTTGAGAGAAATGTTTTCAAGTGCCCACTTCTGATTATCTAGGATTTCCTCCTGGATACTTTTTGACGGTAATCAATGACGCCTGGGGCCTTTCTGTTCACACACTTCCTGTAATAACAATGGAGGCTGAGGGCGGTGGATCACCTGAGGTCAGGAGCTCGAGACAAGCCTGGCCATCATGGCAAAACCCCATCTCTACCAAAAAATACAAAAATTAGCCAGGCATGGTGGTGCATGCCTGTGGTCCCAGCTACTCAGGAGGCTGAGGCAGAAGGATCTCTTCAGCCCAGGGAGGTGGAGGTTGCAGTGAGCCAGGATTGTGCCATTGCACTTCAGCCTGGGCGACAGAGCGAGACTGTCAAAAAAAAAAAAAAAAAAAAGGAACAATGGAGGTTCTCTTTGCTCCAACTTACCTGAAGATCACTTCTTGTTTTGTAGTGCAGTACAATTTAAATGAAAAATAATTTAGAATGTGGGCCAGCCACATGGATTTTAATGCTTCTGAAGGTAGAAGAAAAGACAATTTTAGATTTGGTCAAATGAAATCCTCATATTAACTTCTTTTGGGCAAAACTGACAACAAAACTATTCTTTCCATTACCTAAATGGGATCAATCACTGTAGATGCCCCTGAATCATAAGCCTAAATGACATTAAACTTTAATGAGTCCATTAAACTTTAATAAAAGTTCAAACAATATACTATCTAAAAGAAACTATACTATTTTGACAGAAATACGTTAGAAGTAAAAGAATGCAAAAAATTACAACATGAAAATACTAAACATAATAAAGTTGGAGTCGCTACTTCAATATCAAATAAAATAAAGTTCAGATAAAGCAATATTACCAGGCATGAAGAGAACACTGCTTAACAATAAAGGGGACAATTCAGAAAGAGTACATCGAAATCCTAAATATTTATGCACCAAATTACAGAACTTTAAAATGCCTTAAGCAAATCTGTAGTGCAAAAAGAAAAAATAGCCAAACCCACAATTAAAGGGTAGAGATTTCAACACTCTTTTGTCAACAATTGATAGCAAAAATAAACAGAAATGTGTAAGGGAAGAGCCCCATCATGGGGTGGCTGTTTTTTTTTTTTTACAGTCTCACTCTGTCACCAGGCTGGAGTAAAGTGGCGCGATCTTGGCTCACTGCAACCTCCACCCTCCACCTCCCAGGTTCAAGCAATTCTCCTGCCTCAGTCTCCCGAATAGCTGGGACTACAGGCACCCTCCACCACGCCCAGTTAATTTTTGTATTTTTAGTAGAGACGAGGTTTCGCCATGTTAGCCAGGATGGTGTCCATCTCCCGACCTCGTGATCCGCCCACCTCGGCCTCCCAAAGTGCTAGGATTACAGGCGTAAGCCACATGGTGGCCTTTCTGTATGTATCCCTATAGGACAAGCAACAAAGATTTGAACTGCTGGCCAGGCACGGTGGCTCACACCTGTAATCCCAGCACTTTGGGAGGCCGAGGCAGGCAGATCATGAGGTCAGGAGATCGAGACCATCCTGGCCAACACGGTGAAACCTGTAATCCCAGCACTTTGGACTGCACTCCAGCCTGAATGACAGAGCGAAACTCCGTCTCAAAAAAAAAAAAAAAAATGGAACTGCCTCTAATCTGAGTCTTGCCATAGCAGCTTGCAATTCTCCTGGAACATAAGAAAAAGGCTTGGGAGAAGCTGCCTCAATACCATCACCCATTTGCCTCCCTATCCCTCTTAGGAGGTTGTTATAAGACAGTTGCTTATTACCTGCTGGTATGTGGAATGATGCTTTCTGCTCTACTCCTACCTAGGGTTTAGCTACAGACCATAATGCCCTTTACTGTCATCTAGAATTTGTTCCTCAGGAATGTGGTCTCCCACGAGTTATGTTGCAGTTATCTGACCCTTTTTACATTAGTGGTGCCCTTTTAGGCATGTGGCACAAGGGCTGGGAGCTGTCACCTTTGGCTACTCTTTCTTTCATTGTCTCTGTAATAAACTCCTTGAATCTATAAGCAACTTGGTGTGTCTTTCTAGACCAAATGACTTCGTTGTTGGCCTTGCCTGCTGTGTGTGCCTGACTCCACCCTACATGGGCCAATACAGCTTCAATGTTCCTCTGGAAGATATGGGGCCATGTGGACAAGGTTGGGGATAAGATAGATTCCCTGCACAGGTTCTCACCTACATGGTGGGATAAAAGGGGAGGGTGATACAAGCTCTCCAAACAAAGGATGAAATGGAGCAGTTTAGGAGAGATAAGACTCTCCAAGATTTAGTATTAGATGGGATTGCATGAGACAGATTAGGGGATGACATAAAAATTGCTGAAATCTGGTTGCATATGCTCTCTCCTAAGGGTCAGGCAAATCCTATTCTACCCATTTAGGGCCTGTATGGGTCAAGCTAGAGAATATTAGAAGACTCCCTGGGATCTGATAGCATATGCTGTCTGTTGATACATGTTTGGAGTCAGGCAGCTGGAGATGGGATTGAAACCAGCTACCAACTTGTGCCTTACATTTAAGTGTGTTAAGTATTTCTCTTGACAAAGAAAAGCCTGGATCAGAGGGCTATTCTGGTAAATTCTAACAAACATTTTAAAGAAAGATTTACATCAGACTTTCTCAAACCCTTCCAAAAAGTGGAGGAGGAGAGAACATTCTCTGAAGCCAGCATTACCCAGATACCATTCTTTGAACTCATTCTTTGAAGCCAGCATTACCCAGATACCAAGGCCAGAAAAAGGCAGTATAGAAAAAGAAAACTACAGACCAATATCCCTTAGGAATATTGTCACAAAATCCTCAAGAAAATACTAGCAAACTGATGGCCAGGTGCAGTGGCTCACGCCTGTAATCCCAGTACTTTGGGAGGCCGAGATGGGTGGATCACGAGGTCAGGAGTTCAAGACCAGCCTGGCCAATATGGTGAAACCCTGTCTCTACTAAAAATATAAAAAGTTAGCTGGGTGTGGTGGCACAGGCCTGTAGTCCCAGCTACTTGGGAGGCTGAGGCAGGAGAATTGCTTGAACCCAGGAGGCAGAGGTTGCAGTGAGCTGAGATCATGCCACTGCACTCAAGCCTGGGCAACAGAGTGAGACTCTGTTTCAAAAAAAGAAAAAAAAAAAAAAAAAGAAAATACTAGCAAGCTGAATTAAAAGAAGGAAGGAAAAAAAACATATTACCATCCCAATTGATTCAGGAAAAGCATTTGAAAAAAATCAACATCCTCTCATAATTAGAAAAGAAAAAACTCAATAAACTACAAGTAGAAGGAAACTTTTTCAACATAATAAACACTATATATGTAAGAAAACTCCCTGCTACCATCATACTTGATGCTAATAGACTGAACTTTTTTTTTTCTTAGGATCTTGAACAAGATAAAGAGGCCCACTCCTACCACTTCAATTAACATAACTCTGGGTGTTCTGTCCAAAGTAAATGAACAAGAAAAAAATTTAAAAAGGACTTGAAATTAGAAAGTAAGAAGTAATGTTATGTCTGGTCACTAAGGTGATCTTTATGTAGAAAACCCTAAGGATTCCACAAAAACAAACAAGGAAAAAGTATTAGATCTAACAAACACATTCAGCAAAGTTACAGGTAAAAAATCAATCAGCAAATCCAGTTGTGTTGCTATACATTAACAATGAACAACCTGCAAAGGTAATAAGAAAAACATTCCCACTTACAATAGCATCACAGAAAATACCTAGGAATAAACGTGATCACGGAAGTGAAAGACTTGTACACTGAAAACTACAAAATATTGCTGAAAGCAATTAAAGAAGATATTAAGCAGATGGAAAGACATCCCATGCTCATGGTTAAAAGACAAAAAACCCTTTTTAAGATTCATATGGAATCTCAAGGGAACCTGAATAGCCAAAATAATCTTTTTGTTTGTTTGTTTGTTTGTTTTGTTTTGTTTTTATTATACTTTAAGTTTTAGGGTACATGTGCACATTGTGCAGGTTAGTTACATATGTATACATGAGCCATGCTGGTGCGCTGCACCCACTAACTCGTCATCTAGCATTAGGTATATCTCCCAATGCTATCCCTCCCCCCTCCCCCCACCCCACCACAGTCCCCAGAGTGTGATATTCCCCTTCCTGTGTCCATGTGATCTCATTGTTCAACTCCCACCTATGAGTGAGAATATGCAAAATAATCTTAAAAAAGAGAAACAACGTTGGAGTTCTCACACTTCTTGATTTTAAAACTTACCACAAAGCTATGGTAATGAAATATTGTGGTACTGCCATAAGGATAGACACAAAGATGAATGCAATGGAATACAGCACTTAGAAATAAACCCTCACATACATGATCAAATGAGTTTCAATAAAGGTGCTGAGACTATTCAGCGAGGCAAGGACTGTCTTTTCAACTAACGGTGTGGAAAATCGGGATATTCACATGCACATGAATGAATTAGACCTTTGCCTTATATCACATACAAAAATTAAGTCAAAATGGATTAAAGACATAAATTTAGGAGCTAAAACTATACAGTTCTTAGAAGAAACTATTGGAAAATCTTCATGACATTAGATTTGTCAGTGTTCTCAGATATGACACCAAAATAGGCAACAAAAGGAAAAATGTAGAGAAATTGGACTCATCAAAATTAAAAAATTTCTGCATCAAAGGATACTACTAGCAAGAGAGTAAAGGCTGGGCATGGTGGCTCATGCCTGTAATCCCAACACTTTGGGAGGCCAAGGCGGGTGGATCACGAGGTCAGGAGATCGAGACCATCCTGACTAACACAGTGAAACCCCGTCTCTACTAAAAATACAAAAAATTAGCCAGGCGTGGTCGTGGGCACCTGTAGTCCCAGCTACTTGGGAGGCTGAGGCAGGAGAATGGCGTGTACCCAGGAGGGGGAGCTTGCAGTGAGCGGAGATCGCACCACTGCACTCCAGCCTGGGGGACAGAACGAGACTCTGTCACAAAAAAAAAAAAAAAAAGTAAAAACACAACTCACAGAAATACTTACAAAGCATATATCTGATAGGAGTTTAATATCCAGAATAGATAAACAACTTCTGCAATTCAAAACAGCAATAAAACTAACTGAATTTTTTTATTGACAAAATACTTGAATCAACGTCTCTCCAAAAATGTATAAATAGCCTATAAGCACATGAAAAGAAGCTCAGCATACCTGGTCACTAGGGAATTGCAAAGCCAAACCACAATTAGAAACCAATTCATACCCATTTAGGATGGTCGTTATTGGAAAAAAATGGAAAATACCAAGTGTTGGTGAGAAGTTGGAACCCTTGTGCAACTGTTGGAGGGAATGTAAATGATGCATCCTCTGTGAAAGACAGTTTGGTGGTTCCTCAAAAAATTAGAATTACCATATGATCCAATAATTCCACTTCTAGATACAGACCCCAAAGAAAGACCCAACCAGATACTTGTATACCATCGTGCACAACAGCATCAATCACAAAAAACAAAAGGTGGAAGCAACCCAAGTGTGTGGACAGATGAACGGATAAACAAAATGCAGCATGTACACACCGTGGAATATTATTCAGCTTTAAAAAGAGAATGAAATACCTGGTGCTTGCTACAACATGAATGAACCTTGAAACATTACGCTAAGTGAAATAAGGCAGAGGCAAAGTGACAGATATTTTATGATTCCACATATATGAAGTGCCTAGAATAGGTAAATTCACAGAAGCAGAAAGTAGAACGCAGATTACCATGATCTATGCGTCTGCACCCCACCCACCACCAGAGATCTCTACGTGCTTTCACTTGGGTAATACCAATGACAAGAGGAGGAATGTAAAGAGTCTTTTATCCTGTCTCTGAAGCCCTATAAGAGGGAAGTCTCAACTTCCATGCTGGGAGTATGGGATATGGGGACTTTGACTACACAGTTTCTGTTTGGGATTATCCACAATTTCTGGTAATAGATAGCAGTGATGCTTGTGTAACACTGTGCACATGCTTAAAGTCACTTAATTACACACTTTAAAATGGTTAAAGTGGCAAATTTTATGTTATGCATATTTCACCACAGAAAAAATAAATAAATACATAAATAAATAAATGAACTTTGGAAAAAACAAACAAACCAACCTGGCCTGCATCCAGTCTTTCTTTTCCATAGCATCTATGCAGACTGCCCGAATCTTCACGCTTTCTTTACTGGGGGGCAGGGGTTGCAGTCTTGCTCTGTCATCCAGGCTGGAGTGCAGTGGCATGATCTTGGCTCACTGCAACCTCTGCTTCCAGGGTTCAAGCAATTCTCCTGCCTCACCCTCCAGAGTAGCTGGGATTACAGGCGCCTGCCATCACACCCGGCTCATTTTTGTATTTTTAGTAGGGATGGGGGTTTCACCATGTTGGCCAGGCTGGTCTCGAACTCCTGACCTCAAGTGATCCCTCCACCTCGGCCTTCCAAAGTGCTGGCATTACAGGTGTGAGCCACTGTACCCTGTCTGATTTTTCATGCTTTCTTTTGCCCATTTTCAAGCTATTTTCCTCCCAGAGACTGCAAGATAGAGTTCACTTAAACTCTGAAGACATCTTTAACAGATGAGCAAAGTTCCCCTTCATGCTAGGTAACCCTTTGATCTTCAAGGTACTCATGGTTAAAAGAGCATATACATTTCAGAACTAAAATAAGATGAAAACTACTGATTATTTGTTTAACCTTAGCACTAAAAATAGACCTCTGATGTTAGAGACTTCACAATATGATTTCTTCATTAATCTGGATATATGTGTGCATGTGTCTCTGCGTGTGTATCTCAACTTATTTTAGCTTTAAAAAAAATTCAAAATCCCCTTTACCATGAAAACAAGGTTATGCTTTCATTTTCATAAAGCCTCTTAAGGTCTAAGCAGAATATTGCATATTTGTAATTTAAAATATTGTCATTAAAAAGTGCATTTGGTGAGACCTAGAAAATGGTCACTTAAAACCAAAAGTAAATACAATGCTTTGTTGATAGGTAGGAGCTGCTTCCTCTTTCTATCTGCCTCCCGCCATGCCCCTTCTCCCAACAACCCCTTAGCTTCTAGCTAAATAGAAAGGATGTTCTAGCAGCTACTGAGTAGCACCTGAAGTGCCTGTATGAAGTGCTTGGTCTGTGTTTCTGTTAAAAAAATGTCTAACAGAGGTTTAGGTAAAATTTATCCTAAAGGAATAAGAAGGTAAATTATTTTGTGAATGAGGCTCTGAGCTGACTCACTGTATGCATTGTTGTAAAAATGTGTAACTGGAATAACATGTTGCTTGTTTGAACTGTAAGTGCTTACAAAGTATTTTTTAAAATCTAACTTTGAAATGTTTTACTGTGTAAGTGATGTCTTGTTAGTTGGCAAGTTAAAAATCTTTTTCAGGGTCCTTGGCTACACATCAGCAGGAATAACTGATAAGTCCCCAAAATTCGAGAGTGTTGCTTAGATTTTTCTTGTAACATTTCTTGAAACAATGTAGGTAGAATCACATCACTGAATCCCCCTGGCAAAGAAAAAACTGTTGCCTTTTACAAAGAACAGTATATTCCTGATCTAGAAGTTGCAGCTTTTGGAAAAGTTGCCCCATTTGTGGCCGGGCACCTTGGCTCACGCCCGTAATCCCAGCACTTTGGGAGGCGGAGGCGGGCTGATCACGAGGTCAGGAGATTGAGATCATCCTGGCTAACACAGTGAAACCCCGTTTCTACTAAAAATACAAAAAATTAGCTGGGCGTGGTGGTGGGCGCCTGTAGTCCCAGCTACTCGGGAGGCTGAGGCAGGAGAATGGCATGAACCTGAGAGGCGGAGCTTGCAGTGAGCCGAGATCGCGCCACTGCACCCCACCCTGGGCTGCAGAGTGAGACTCCATCTCAAAACAAAAAACAAAAAACAAAAAGTTGCCCCATTCGTGATGCAGAGTTCTGATGGAGAGATATTTGAAGTTGATTTGGAAATTGAGAAATAATCTGTGATTATCAAAACCATGTTGGAAGATTTTGAGTGGATGATGAATGATGAAGGATATGATGACCTAGTTCCTCTACCAAATATTAATGCAGCAGTATTTAAAAAGGTCATTCAGTGGTGCACTCACCACAAGGACGACCCTCCTCCTCCCCAGGGTGATGAGAACAAAGAAAGGGGAACAGACCATACTCCTGTCTGGGATCAGGAATTCCTTAAAGTTGACCAAGGAGCACTTTTTAAACTTATTCTGGCTGCAGACTACTTAGACATCAAGTTTCCTTGATGTTACATACAGCACTCTTGCCAATATGATCAAGGGGAAAGCTCCTAAGGAAACTGACAAGTCCTTCAATATCAAAATGACTTTATGGAAGAGAAGGAAGCTGAGGTGCACTAAGAGAACTGTGGTGTGATGAGAGGCAAAATGTGTCTGACACTGTAACACTATAAAGACAGCTCCAAACACTAGTTGTACTGCTGTGTTTACAGTTTCTAATGTTAGACAAATGCAGCAGCAAATCAATTCTGTTAGCAGAATACTGTCATCATTGCATGAGCAATCTGAGTAGTTTCCAAGTGTATGGCTAAGTTTCTTCTGGTATGATTGAAAGTTTCTTTTTTTTTCCTCTTAATAAAACTAAACTGTGGGTTCTCTATTTAAAAAAAAAAAGAAAAGAAAAGAAAAATTAAAACACTCCCAGTTTGTAGATGACATGATTTTCTGAGTAGAACTAGTTAAGTGAATTCAGCAAGTTTTTAGGATATAAGATCAACACACAAAAACATACTAACGACAGACATGTGGAGATGGACTTTAAAACACAATATGATTTAAAATTATCTCATAGAAAAGGAAATATTTAGGTACGAAATTATGTACAAATTTTAACAAAATACATAAAAGATCTGTATCCTAAAATTTAGAAAATGCTGATGAAAAGAATCAAAGGAGACCTAAATAAATGGATATATATCATGTTCATGAATTGGAAATTTCAACATATTAAAGATGTCAGTACTTCAAAAGTTGACCTACAGATTTAGTACAATTTTTACGAAAGTCCCAACAAAATGTTTTGTAGACATAAACAAGTTTATTCTAAAACGTATATGGAAAGGCACAGGACCAAAAATAGTGAAAACAATTTTCAAAAGAGTAAAGTGAGAGGAATCCCTGTGCCTGGTGTTGCTATATGTCTACAGAAAACAATGCAATGTATTGCTGGCAGAGGCAGAGACGCCTAGAACCCAGGAACAGAGTAGCAAATCCAAAAACAGACCCACACAATTATGCCCAATGAATCTGTAAAAACAATTACATGGAGGAAGGGTAACCTTTCAATAAATTGTGTTGGGACAATTATTATGCATCCATGGATAAAATAATGAACTTTACATTTAACCTCACATCTTACCAAAAATGAACTAAAAATGGATCACAAATTCTCCCCGGCTGGACTGCAGTGGCGCCATCTCGTCTCACTGCCACCTCCGCCTCCGGGTTCAAGCAATTATCCTGCCTCAGCCTCCCGAGCAGATGGGATTACAGGCGCCCACCACCACGCCCGGCTCATCTTTGCATCTTTACTAGAGACGGAGTTTCACCTTGTTGGCCAGGCTGGTCGCGGTAATTCCTGACCTCAGGTGATCCGCCCTCCTCAGCCTTCCTAAATGCTAGGACTACAGGTGTGAGCCACCGCACCTGGCCTAAAACTATAAATATTTTAGAAAAATAAACATAGGAGAAAGTCTTCAGGACTTAAGACTACGTGGTGTTTATAAAATAGACGGTGCTTTCATAAAATTATGTGTTTTTTTTAAATAAAACTAAACACGTATCTATCATACAGCCCAGCAATAAAAGTTTTAGGCATTACAGTATTACAGAGAAATGGAACATTTCTGTTCACATGAAAACATGTGTACGGTTGTTCATAGTGGCTTTATTTGTATTAACCAAAAGCTGGAAATAACCCAAATGTTTTCCTATAGTGAATGGTTAAACAAACTGTGGTAAGTTCATAGAATTATCTTTCCTTTGAGATGCCATTCCTGAAACTATAAAAACTTTTCTGGAAAACCTAAGCAATGAATTTATCGCTGTTTCGTTTGTATCGCCTATTTAAGGAAGTAAAATGAACGATAATTTTTGCCCTCCTTTACCTATGGTCATGTGATAAGCCCTTAATAGAAGTCAGCTTTTGCCAGCGGTGCCCAGTGGCTCACGCCTGTCATCCCATTTAGGAGGCCGAGGTGGGCGGATCACCTGAGATCGGGAGTTAGAGACCAGCCTGACCAACGCGGAGAACCCTGTCTCTACTAAAAATAGAAAATTAGCTGGGCGTGGTGGCGCATGCCTGTAATCCCAGCTACTCGGGAGGCTGAGGCAAGAGAATCGCTTCAATCCGGGTGGTGGAGGTTGCTGTGAGCGGAGATCGCGCCATTGCACTCCAGCCTGGGTGACAGAACTGGACTCTGTCTCAAAAAAAAGTCAGCTTTTATTATGAGGGGCTCTCCATCTCCAGATGCCTGTAAGGAAAGGAGTGAGCTAAGCATCTGGAACACCGTGGGGGTTTTGGACTGAGTGCCTACGGTGTATTGGGCCCTGTGTAGGAGTTTCATATATATTATTTTATAACACTATGGCTAGCTCTTACTACCCAAATTTTACAAGTTAGGAAACTAAGGATTAGCATTACTTACTCAAACAAACAGTGGGTGAGTGGGGAAATTGGAATTCATATCCAGATGTCTCTGAGTACAGAAACCATATTCTCTATACCACACTTTTTTGTCCCTTCATAACTTCCATCTGTGTGAGTGGCCAGGAGTAACGGATTATGCAACTGCCTGAAGCGCTCTGGTCTTGTGTCCAATGCACAGGATGCGGAACATTCGTTTAAAATCTTCCTGCCCATTCCACGGCTGAGTCTCATCTCTAGCCAGCAGAAACCCATTTTTAGTGGCTGGTAAGCCACTAAATTTACTCTTTGTCCCCAAAATGACCATCATTGCATATTTAAGTACATTTTATTTCTAGATGCCTGATTCATTTCAAGTCTATGTAAATTGTTAGTTTCTTATGAACAATTAAATTTAAAGTATACATATGTCAACAACTTTTCTGTTAGTGAAACTGTGAGATCCTGTCACTCAGTGTGACATCGCTGAAAATTAAGGGATTCGCAATCTTTGCTGACTTGTGTTCCAAGTCTGGATCAACTATTTGCTGTATGACGTTGGCAATATTATTTAACCTCTAATAGAGTTCATCTGTTTATCTATTAAAACAGTGAAATGATATTTATCTGAAAGAATCCAGTATATTAATTTAGAGGTACACCCATTAACAAACACATTACTTTATGTAAATTGGTAATCTATATCTGCTTCTGCTT
This sequence comes from Homo sapiens, assembly GCF_000001405.40. Lineage (NCBI taxonomy): Eukaryota > Metazoa > Chordata > Mammalia > Primates > Hominidae > Homo > Homo sapiens. The sequence continues at coordinate 39,488,845 of NC_000009.12, forward strand.
ATTCATTACTTTAAATAACTACAAAGAAAATATTCAGACCCAGGGACATAAAATAAGCACTCAAATAACGTCTGTTGAAAAAAATGAATGTCACTTTTGTCAAATTATTTCTAAAAAAAAAAAAAGTAACTTATTTAGAAAATCTCAAATCTACATTAAGGACCTTGTATTTTAGCATTGTCACCACTTTTACTGAGAGGTCAGTAGGGACTATTCCTGATTCTGGAAGGCAGAACATAGATAAGGAGACCCACAAAATTGGAGTCTGATCTGGGTCACATTTTCAACATTTAAAATTACCGTGTGACTTTGGTGAGTCATTTGAATTCTCCATTCCTGTTCTCTATCTATAAATAGAAATAATAAAGACATTTATTCTTAAATTAAGTTTCAATTTTTCATCTATAAAATCAAGTGCTAAATATACACATTTAGCAATTATAATGCTATACAGAGATGTTTCTGTAATTTCTATTCTTCTTCCAACTTTGCACCATTTTGCAAACATCCTCATGTTAAAGGTTGCAGTTTCTTCCAGTTTCTTACTACCATGATGTGCTCATAAATGCTTGAAATCCCATTTGAACAGGATTCAGGACAGCGTAAGGTGTTAATCTGACCATTTGTTTTTAAGAGTCTATCCTGTTTAAAGCCATGAGATACATTTCTAAGTGTTCTGAACTACATCATTTAAATCTTCTCATATCCTGTTTTTAAAAAAGTGGTAATCTTGGGTGAAGCCACTTGATCAATAATTTTTTAAGGTCCTTAATTTTCTCAACTCCAGGACATTTTCCTATCCATTGGACCACTTGAATTTCATCTTTATGTTTTGTAGGTGTTTTTGGTAATTTCCTTTTTACTGCATTCCATGACTTTTAATGTTTCCATTTAGGGAATTGTTCTCAAAGAATTTGAGTTGAAACTCATACTACATATTTATAAAATGTATAAATTATTTACAGCTTAGCATTAAAAAAATCAAATATGTCCAATTCAAGTAGCTGGTACAGAATCACTTATTTTCTTAAATATGATACGTTACAATTATATCATGTTTTAAATCTCTAACAAACCTGACTCCATAATATTTGGCTACAAGTGTATATAATACAAATGCTTATATGATGGCTGAGAAAACAAAAATTTTCATTCTTACACTTTTTAAATTGTTATTTTGTCTTCTTTTAATGGATACTTGGTACAGTTTCACCTGGATGCTCTCTATATTCAGGGGAATTGCAGAGTTACAGGGATACTGTACTATGTGGAATTGCCCCATCAATTAAATGCAGGATCATGACAATGAGCAAGTAAGGAGGATTTGATGCCACTCCTTTACAAGAACGCCTTGCTAGGGTTTGGCTGTGTCCCCATTCAAATCTCATCTTGAATTGTAGCTCCCATAATTCCCACATATTGTGGGAGGGACTCAGTGGGAGATAATTGAATCATGGGGGTGGTTTCCCCCATACTGTTCTTGTGGTAGTGAATAAGTCTCACAAGATCTGATAGTTTTATAAGGGGAAACCCCTTTCACTTGGTTCTCTTTCTCTCCGCCTGGGAAAAGCATCCCTTGCTCTTCCACCATAATTCTGAGGCCTCCTCAGCCACGTAGAACTGTGGGTCAATTAAACCTCTTTCCTTTATAAATTACCCAGTCTCGGGTATGTCTTTATGAGCAGTCTGAAAACAGACTAATATACTCCTCCATGGGAAGAAAAGGTTTGAGGGTCTTTGGAGAACAGAGTATGAGAGGAGGATGCCCAGTAAGGGGGTACCAGTGCCTGCATCTGGAGGCAAATCTCACAGGCATTTATCACAGTCAGACATTAAATTATGTTGTATTATTTTAAATGTAAGCAGTTGACAATTACGCCAAACTAGAAGCTACTGCTTCTTTTAGAAGTAGGTAATAAAATAATTAACTCTGAAGTAATGTACTGTTCAGAAGCAGAGCAGATATACATAAACCTAAACACTAAGAGCTGGGTCTCCAATACTAAAAGAACGCTACTTTGGCACTCCCTGATAGAGGGAGCGCTATTAATAATGTGGAAACGTTTTTGCTAAAAGAGAAGGATTAACATTCATGCCAGCATCCAAATTGTTCTTCTTAAGATATTGTATATTTATATTATAAAATATGTCCTGTTTCTGATTTTATTAATTTATTTCATTCATTAAAGATATATCAGCAAGTGGCAGATTAGGAAGCTCCAGGGCCATATTTTCCCATAAAAATGTCAAATAAAAAATATATAGACCAAAGTCACTTTGTAAGAACTCCTAAAATTAGCTAAGAAACAAAGCAAATGCCTAACTGAACAAAAGGCCACATTGGAAGCAGTATGAAATTTCATGGCATTTTTCTTGCCCTTAACCCACCTCCTCTTCAACATAGTGTGATGTGATCAGGAGGAATTTGTCCAATCCAAGTTCCAGCCTCAAGCTGGAAGAGGAAGAGAGGAGCTTATCTGGAGATTGACTGGAAGACTATTTCTATCTTACCTGATTTAAAAAGCTGATGGAAGTGGTGGCATAGTTTGAATAGCCATTCAAATGACCTTGAATAGGTTCAAGGTCATTTAAAACAGACAGGCACCATGGTGACTAAGAGCCACAAGCGGTCAGAAGACCCCCGGTGGCACAGATTATAGACAAAGGAAAACAATAAAAATTCCCTGACCTCTAAGAAGCAGCAGCAATATGCCTCTTGGGGAAATTAAGACATTTAAAGCAGCCTTGTATATGGGGAACTGGAACAAAAGCATACACACAAGGCAAGGAAAGACACATCTCCAGTAAAAGTATGAAAGGAGCTTGTACCTTTATGCCAGGATGATTAGTAAAGGTCTTCCCCTGCATAGAGCCAGTCCACAAAAAGCTAGGAGACAAGGCTACTTTTTTCAAATGCTCAATTTTCAACAAAAGATCACAAGACACACAAAGGAACAGGAAAACGTAGCCCCTTCAAAGGAACAAAATAAATCTCCAGTAACTGATCTTAAAGAACAGCAGAGCTTGGGCTTATTTGATAAAGATATTCAAACAATAAAGATGTCTAAAGTATGCTAAATGAGCTGAAGGAGAACATGAACAGACATACAAGCAAACTCAGGAAGATATTTTATGAATGACATGAGAATATTAACAAAGAGATAATTTTAAAATCACAGAAAACAAACAAACATTCTGAACCTGAGAAACAGAGTAACTTAGTTGAAAAATTTACTATAGGGAGACTTGATCAGGCAGAAGAAAGAATCAGTAAACTTAAAGATATTTGTCATTGTTGAATCTGAGGAGCAAAAAGAAAAAAGAATGAGTAAAAGTGAACAGAGTTTAAGGGACATATGGGACATTGTCGAGTGAACCATATACATTATGGAATTACCATAAGAAGAAGAGACAAAGAGACAGGGAGCTTATCTGAAGAAACAATGGATGAAAAGTTCCCAAGTATGAGGAAAGAAATGAATACACAGGCTGGGCGCAGTGGTTCATGCCTGTAATCCCAGCACTTTGGGAGGCCAAGGCAGGTGGATCACCTGAGGTCAGGAGTTCGAGATCAGCCTGGCCAACATGGTGAAACCCTGCCTCTACTAAAAATACAAAAAAAGGTTAGCCGTGTGTGGTGGTGTGTGCCTGTAGTCCCAGCTACTCGAGAGGCTGAAGCACAAGAATCATTTGAACCTAGCAGTCAGGAGTTGCAGTGAGTCGAGATCACACCATTGCACTCCAGCCTAGGTGACAGGGTGAGACTATCTCAAAAAAAAAAATGAATATACAAATACAAGAAGCTCAGTGAATTTTAAATCGGATGGATCCACAAAGATCCACACTAAGACATATTATAATCAAATTGTCAAAAGTCAAAGAGAATCTTGAAAGTAGCAAGAGATAGGTGACTTAGTATGTACAAGAAAATCTATAATATTAACAGTGAATTTCTTATCGGAAAATTTGCAGGCCAAAAGGCAGTGGGATGACATATTTAACTGATTTTTTTTAAACTCCTGTCAACTGAGAATACTATATTCAGTAAATTTGTTTTTCAAAAAAATGAAGAGAAGTAAGACATTTCTACAAAAAAACTGAGGAGTTTGTTACTGTTGGGAAAGGCAGTCTTGTGCATGCAATCTTTTGACCCTCACTTGGCCATGTGACAATGGGCCTAAGGTCTGGACAACTTCTTTATCACGAGAATAAAGAACCTTCATATCCTGTACTGGGATTATCACTTGTGTGGGAATATTTTAGCCTGTTTCAGACTCAATGTGTATTCCTTCGTTCAGCTTAAAATTGCACATATTATGGCACCTAGCCAAACCTGATACTACATTTGCCCCCTGCAGGGAGGGGAAGGGTTCTTCTGTAGCACAAGAGAGGTATGTACCGCCAAATTGTCCTGTGTCAGCTGCTGGGCAGGACCTACTGGCCATGGGAGACCCATGACCACTAGTGGAGCTGGTCGTGCTCTGCCTCTACTCTGTGTAAGTAAAGCATTAATCTATTCAGCAATTGGCTGTACTGTGTTTTCCTTGGCAACTCCAATACCAAGATGCAGTAGGCAGAAGTATCAGGGTTTTCACTCCTGGTGATAGACAACTGATTTCACTTGCTTGATAGTAACCACTACACCATTCCTATTAGAAATGTTAAAGAAAGTCCTTCAACTTGCAACAAAGGACACTAGGCAGTAACTTCAAGCCCTATAAAAATTTAAAGTTCTTTGGTAAAGATAAATGTATGGACAAATATTTAAAAATTGTGTTATTATAATTTTCATTTGTAATGCCACTTTTAATTATTTAATAGGATTTAAAGTTTAAAAAGCATAAGTATAAATCTATATTAATGGGTACACAATATAGAAAGATACTTTGTGACATAACATAAAGTGGGAGTGTGAAGACAGTTATAAAGGAGTAGAGTTTTTGTATGTGATTGAAGTTGCTATCAGTTTAAAATTGATTTTTCTAACTTAACTGTTTTATGTAATCCCCATGGTAACACAAAAGATATATCTAGAGAATGTACACAAAGAGAAATAAGAAGAAAATCAAATAAATGTCACTGAAAACTCAACTGAACATAAAGGAAGGCAGTAAGTGAGGAAATAAGGGGAAAAAACCTATAAGACATAGAGAAAAATTAGCAAAATGGCAATAGTAAATCTCTAATCATAATATATATTTTGGCAGAATGGATAAAAACACAAGATGCAACTATATACTGTCTACACAAGACTTGTTATAAATCCGAGGACACGCACTGGGGAAGGGAAAGAATGGAAAAAAGATAATTCACGCAAATATTAAAAGAAGAGCAGCAAGTGGCTATATCGATATTGGATAAAAGAGATGTTAAGTTGAAAGCTGTCACAAGAGAGAAAGAGGGACACTATATAATGACAAAAGGGTCAATTCACCAAGAAGATATAACATTTATAAATATATATATATTTATATATATATACACAGTAAGCATCAGAGCTCCTAAATTTATGAAACAAATGTTGACATAATTGAAAGGAGGAAAATACTGATGTACAAGAATTATAGGGACTTTAATGTCACATTTCAATAATTGATTAAACATCCAGAGAAACGATCAGTAAAGAAACAGAGGACTTGAAAAACATTATAGACCAATTGAAACTGACAGACATATACAAAACACTTCACCCAACAACAATAGAATACACATTTTTTTCTCAAGTATACATGGAGCATAATTCAGGGTAGACCATAGGCTAAGCCCCCAAAAAAGTCTTAATACAGTTAAAAGATTAAAATCATCACGGTACCTTTTTTTATTATGATGGAATGAAACTAGAAATCAATAGCAGGAGGAAAACTAGAAAGTCTACAAATATGTGGAAATTAAACAACAAACCCTTAAGTAACCAATGGGTCAAAGAAAAAAATACAAGGAAAATTAGAAAATATACTGAGAGAAATAAAAATGTAAACACAGTTTATTGAAACTTGTGAGATGCTGAAAAAGTAATAGTAAGAAGGAATTTTATAGCTGTAGATGTTTATACTATAAAAGAACTAAATCAACAACCTACCTTTATTCCTTAAGGAAATAGAAAAAGAAGAAACTTCACACATCTGGCACACAAAAAGATACAATAAAGATTACAGCAGAGATAAACGAAATTGAGACTAGAAAAACAATAGAGAAATTAGTGAAACATAGGGTTGACTATGTAAAACATGAACAGAATTGTCAAGCCTTTAGCTAGAACAACTGTGAAAAAGGAGGAAGCTCAGGGGCCGAAGCGCAGTGGCTCACGCCTGTAATCCCAGCACTTAGGGAGGCCAAGGCTGGCGGATCACGAGGTCAGGAGATCGAGACCATCCTGGCTAACACGGTGAAACCCGGTCTCTACTAAAAACACAAAAATTTAGCCGGGTGTGGTGTGGGGCGCCTGTAGTCCCAGCTACTCGGGAGGCTGAGGTAGGAGAATGGCGTGAACCCGGGAGGCGGAGCTTGCAGTGAGCCGAGATCGCGCCACCGCACTCCAGCCTTGCTGACAGAGCGAGACTCTGTCTCAAAAAAAAAAAAAAAAAAAAAAGCCCCCAGTTTACATCACACTCAGTGTTGAAAGACTGAAAGGGTTTTCTCTAAGATCAAGAACAAGGCAAGGATGTCCACGTTTGCCAGTCTATTCAACATAGCACTTAAAGTCCTAACCAGAAAAATTAGGCAAGAAGAGGAAATTTAAAAAGATATCCAAAATGGAAAGGGGAAAATTAAATCATCCCTCTTCTCAGATTATATGATCATACATGTAGAGAACCCTAAAAATATCACAAAAACCTATTAGAAGTACAGTTTACCCAGAATTCTACTACTCCTTACCAAGGAGCATCTATTCTTATACTGATGTATGACATACTTTCAAACTTTCTCAATATCAAAGAGATTGTCTCACCAGCAGCTAAGGCTGTATTGTACTGATCTGTAATATTTGTTATTTCAAGCTGGAAGATATTATCTGAGAGTTTGACATATATTTGATCTTAAAGAATCTCACAGAAAAAGGCTTCTCTTATACTGTCAAATTTTGAAGTAGGAAAAAGACTTTCGAGATTGCTAAAAAAATAACCTGTAACATACCTAAAATGCTTTGTATCCTGATAATCCCAGAATTCAGGTAAAATGTTGATTTGATGTTCACAAAGGGAGTAATATTTTAGTTACTTAAATACTAACATGGGTATAATTTAAATTACTCTGGTTAAGGATAGTACAAGACTCTGTGACTGTAAACACTTCACCTGAGCCAAGTTTGAATTATTTAATGTGTTATGTCATTTATTTATTTTCCACAAAGAAATGTCCTTCCCCCTCAGGCTGAAAAAAAAAAAAGTCTAGAATATGAAGGAGAACCATGGGAAGAGAAAGGAGGCAAAGAACTACAAAGACAGATCTCACAAAATGGAAATGAAATGTATTGGAATTAAGAAGGAACACCTTCCTTTTAGTAATATCATAGTACAGCCAACGTAAAACAAGAACATATTATTGTACCCAAAGTCAATGGACTGTGTAATGTCCAGGACAATCCATGACTCATCACATCCCACAGCCATGTTAACAGATGCCAACAGGCTCAGCGGTGCCCCCAGAGCTACGCCTGCTAGACGACACAGCTTAAATAAAGTGAAATACAATAATCTATGACAAAGTGGAAAAAAACAAGGAAGTGGAAAAAATAAGAATGTTCTTTGCTGATCCACATGTTCCATGAGAAATCTTATCAAGGATCTTATAAAAGTGATAAAATCATAGATGAGAAAGACAGTTGCAGAGGTCAAATTGCAATTTCACATTTTGTTTAATTTGTTGAAAGTATTTGGTAAACAATCTGTGTACTCAAGAATAATTCAAAATGTTGCCACCATGTTTTACAAATTATTTTTAAGGATAAGCCATCTTTTCTTCTAATGAAATTAAACAACAGTTATTAATAGTTTGGCATTTCTATAATGGTTTTATCTTTGTTGATTGTAAAGTGAGTCCTCACAACATAAACCAAAATGCCAGCATTTCACGAGTGCAACATAGCAGAACTTTTTTTTTTTTTTCGACATGGAGTTTCACTCTGGTTTCCTAGGCTGGAGTGCAATGGCGTGATCTCAGCTCACTGCAACCTCCGCCTCCCGGGTTCAAGCGATTCTCCTGTCTCAGCCTCCCTAGTAGCTGGGATTACAGGCATGCACCACCATGCCTGGCTAATTTTGTATTTTTAGTAGAGATGGGGTTTCTCCATTTTGGTCAGGCTGGTCTCTAACTCCTGGCCTCAGGTGATCCACCCTCCTTGGCCTCCCAAAGTGCTGGGATTACAGGCATAAGCCACCGCGCCCGGCCAAAACACAGCAGAACTTCTATTGCTTTACGGGGAAGGGACTTCCATAATTAACATGGACTGAAAAAATGAATTTAAAATAAGTGTGAAAGGGGGCATCTGACATGTGCAATGATCATTAATCTCATTGCGGGACCTTTAAAATCCACCTACATGTGTGAGGGAAGTGTTTGTCTCTATATTTTTGTTCCTCTAAGTAGGTCTGAATCCCATTAGGGTGAGGCACCTGGGGAAGCACCTAGGAATAGTGATTCCTGACATGTTTCTCACAATTTAATACTTCATAATTTAGAAAGTTTTCCCATACATTCTCTAATTTGAGTTTCACAGAGATCCTGTGGAAGAACTCTGGGCAGATAGAAGTCCAGAAGAGAAACAACAGCTCAGGAATGTCACATCATTGGTCCAGGAGCTGTTTCCTTATTTCCTCTGAACCTAATTTTACTGAGAATATTTTTTTTCCTTAGAAAAAATTCTAAAGACCTCATTTTTTTTTTTTTTTTTTTTTTTAGATGGAGTTTCACTCTTGTTGCCCAGGCTGGAGTGCAATGGTGCAATCTCAGCTCACTGCAACCTTACCTCCCGGGTTCAAGCAATTCTCCTGCCTCAGTCTCCCGAGTAGCTAGGATTACAGGCATGTGCCACCACACCCAGCTAATTGTGTATTTTTAGTAGAGATGGGGTTTCTGCATGTTGGTCAGGCTGGTCTTGAACTCTTGGCCTCAGGTGATCCATCTGCCTCAGCCTCCCAAAGTGCTGGGATTACAGGCGTAAGCCACTGTGCCCAGTCTGCAACATATTTTTAATTTCTGAAAATTATACTTTGAAAATAAATATTCTAGTAATAAAAATAGGTAACTCAAGGGACACAGAGATTCGCTTTTGGTCAGAGAAACCATACTTCCCTTTACTGGAAGACTGATTTTTTTTTTTTTAACTACTGAACTATGACAGGAATGTTTTGAACTGGAGCACTAACTATGGGCTACTTGTGTATCTAGGCCCTTCCTCAATAAATTTACAATCTATAAAAGAAGAAGAAAACCAGATAATACAACTTGTAAGTAGTACTGTGAGAGATTTTTAGAGAAAAACGTGCTGGCATATAAAAGGGTCATGAGGCTCTATTGACTCAAACTTGTTCAAGAAGTAAACAAAAGCCTAAAAGCCTAATGATAACAAAAATGTGCATTTATAAGTATGCAGTTTTAAAAAGAACGCTACATTGATTTTCTGCCACCACTCTCTAAGACTCCCTTCTGTAGGTTGCTATGCTGGGCTTTATGACAGCTCTAACACCTGCTCCTCCCCAGTTCTCCTTTGCCTAATTTCTGATGTAGGTGTTCATAAAAATCCTACCCCAATCTTCTTTGCTTCTCATTTCCATCCTCTACTTGGCAATTCTATCCATTTTACCAGGTTTAAGTAACTATCACTGCTATGTGTTCATGCTCAATTTATCTTCTTAGCTCCAGAATAGAAGCTACTGTGGATTATTTATATGTGGGTATCTTTGTGTGTGTGTGTGTGTGTGTGTGTGTGTGTGTGTGTGTGTGTGTGTGTGTGATGGAGTCTCACTCTGTCACCCAGGCTGGAGTGCAATGACGTGATCTTGGCTCAGTGCAACCTCCACCTCATGATTTTAAGCGATTCTCCTGCCTCAGCCTCTTGAGTAGCTGGGATTACAGGTGCCTGCCACCGTGCCTGGCTAATTTTCATATTTTTAGTAGAGATGGGGGGGTCTCACCATGTTGGCCAAGCTGGTCTCGAACTCCTGACCTCAAATGATCCATCCACCTTGGCCTCCCAAAGTGCTTGGATTACAAGCATCAGCCACCTCACTCGCCTATATGTGGGTATCTTACAGATTACCTCAAGCTCAACAAGCACAAAACTCTTCTAGGCAGCAAATCTCTAAAACCTGCTCCTCTCCTACTCATAATTGCCCCATTATCACTCAGGCTTGAAGCCCTGGAATTGTCTTTATTTTTCAAACATCCTCTTCTTTGATTCTCTTTCTATATGCATTTAGATCTCCTCTTTCAAGTTGCCAAAGGTACCTTTATATTATATCATGTAAATATTTTTGATATTTTACTCTTCTAAATGATTAAGTTGTTTGGTAAAGAACAAACATCCATACTCTTCAATCTTCTATCCTTAGCTTTCATGATTGGAGCCAATTCTATGATTTCTTATTCATCCAATCTGTACTTCCAACGCTTCCCCGGCACATCCTGCTGAAATCTCTATGTCAGCCTATCATATAGGATAACAGTCCTGTGTTCTTATTATAAAATACAGAATGTGGGGGATTTAAAGAAGACCATCTTTTACCTCCTGTGAAAGTTAAAGGGAGCACAGTCTACAAGGCCACTCTCACTTCTAACACCAGTTGCAAGTTCAAGGGATTCCCAAAACTACTTTCAGGTTTGGTAATTCACTAGAAGGGCTCACAGAACTCACTGAAAGGTGTTAGACTCATGGTTATGATTTATTACAGTGAAAGAATACAGATTAATATCAGTCAAGAAAAGGGAAGCATAGAGAAAAGCCCAAGACAGTACCAAATGTGAAGCTTCCTATTGTTCTCTCCCTGTGGAATCAGGACAGCATTTCCTGGCATCAATGTGTGACATTGCTTAGGTAGTACTGCCAAGCAGGGATGCTCACCTGAGCCTTGATGTCCAGAGTCTTATCCATTACTAGATAGTTGACTGTGCATGTGGCTGTCTTAAGTTTTCAGACCTATAGGACATGTAGCCTGTGACTCAAAGCTCCAACCCCACTTTAAATCACATTGTTAATATCTTGCTGGCTCAAGGTCCCCAGGAAAGCAAAGATGTTCCTATCAGGCATGATGTTCCAAGAGCTAGAGATTACCTCCAAGAAGCCAAGGGTAAAACCCAGACCTTTCTTTAGGCAAGACTAGCCTGGGCAACATAGGCCCCATTTCTACAAAAAAAAAAACGTTATCTCATGGTGGCACATGCCTATTGTCCCAGCTATTCAGGAGGTTGAGGCGAGAGGGTCCCTTGAGTCCAGGAGATTGAGGCTGCAGAGAGCTCTGATCATGCTGCTACACTCCAGCCTGGGTGACAGAGTGAGAACTTGTCAAAAAAAAAAAAAAATCTTTACTATGGACCCTCCTACTTTCTTAGGTTTTCAAGATGTGTATGTAGATAAAATGGATTTGTAACTGGGCTGAAAAACCTGTCTTTGAATCTGGAAACACCTGGATGTCTGGTTTTTTTACCCTTGGCTAAGCTAGGGTCAGTAAGATTTATGTAATTCTGTTTATGTTCTGACCCGGAGACTTTAATACTTACTTTCTTTACTAATGGTTTGCCACTGACATAACCAGGTGAAAAGCGTGGCTTGCTTATATGACTACAGGGACTTATAACACCCCTATAAGGGCTTCTCTGAACTCCCACAAAGCCAAAATTCCTGGTCCAGATCTTAGAGGTTCAAATTAGAGACACAGCCTGGTCCCGTGTATGAAAAGAAGGTGGCCCTGGAGAGTTGGGATGTCAAAATGTCTCTTGTACTCCCAATGTTTGCTTGCTTTTTCCTTCTCTTGCTGTATCACATAATTTGCATTTTTGTCAAAAAAAAAAAGTACACTTTGTGTAATCTGATGAATCCTTTCAAATATATGAACTGTGGGAAAAAAATATACCAGAGTTTATTACACTTGCAGAAATTTTACTAAGGATTAGAAAAATTTCAAATATCATAACCTGAACCAAGAATTTCATATGTAATTAACACCACTATCTCCTTCATAGTTCAGAAAAGTGATAAGATGAAATTCAATAAATAAGTCTGGGGTTTCAGTAAATATAATGTCAACCACTTTCTTACTATTGAATAACAGTTTAAATTTTAGTTACTTTTATGATTTTAAGGTACTTCATTAATTTAACTACTAAAAATATTTGTTAGATTGCACACTAAGTTTCAGACTCTCAAAAATGATGAAAATTAATAAAAACTATATTATAAAGAAGTAGTTGACCACAGCAGAGACAGAGGTATAGAAAGAAAACTGAGCAAGTCTGGTCAGAGGTAGGCCTGGCACAAGGACCTGGAGAAGGCAGTGTCACCGAGAGCCGGTGGAGGAAATGAGGCTCCATAAACAGAACTTTGGTTGTGATCTCTGGTTTTCTAGCCAAACTGTCTTGTAATTTTTCTCTCAGATTCCTCAAAGAAATGGGCAGCAATTGTAAAGTGACAGTAATGATTCAGCTAATTACCAGACAAAAACAAATGATGACTTAAAAGCACCATCTCTCAACAAGTATAATTTAGGCCTTCTATGGTCATGGATTAAAATACTTAATATTGTTGACATGTCAATACTCCTCAAAGTAATCTATAGATTTAAGCAATCCCGATAAAAATCCTAATGTCTTTTTTTTTACAGAAATAGAAAAGTCCATTCTAAAATTCATGTGAAATTTCAAGGACCCAAAATAGCTAAGACAATCTTGAAGAAAAAGTTAAAGGACTCACACTTTCCTGACTTTATAATATGTTATAAAACTACAGTAATCAAAACCAATATATTTCTGGCATAAAGACAGGTATATAGACCAATGTGATAAAACAGAGGGCCTGGAAAGAAACAATCAAATATTTGGTGATGTCAGATAAGGATAACAAAATCACTCGATGGGGAAAGGGCAGTCTCTTTAAAAACGGTGTTGGAAAAACTGAATATCTGCATGCAAATGAGTAAAGGTAGGGGCTTATCTTACACCATATACAAAAGTTAACTCAGATGGATTAAAAGCCTAACTGTAGGATGCAAATCTATACAACTCCCAGAAGGAAACATGGAAGAAAACTTCACAATATTAGATTCGGCAATGATTTCTTGGATATGCCTCCAAAATCACAAGCAACAAAAGCGAAAATAGACAAATGAGATTACATCAAACTTAAAAGGTTTTCTGTACCAATGGCACAATCAACAGAATATAAAAGTAACTTATGACATGGGAGAGAAGATTTGCATTATATATATATATATATATATATATATATATATGGGTTAATATTCAGACAATCTAAAGAACTACAATTAAACAAGAAAAAAAATCAAATAACCTCATTAAAAAATGGAGAAAGGGGCTTCAGGAGACATTTCTCCTAAGATGATATACAAATGGCCAACAAGCATATAAAAAGATGCTCAATATCACTAATCATTAGAGGAATGCAAATAAAACCAATGTAAATAAAATGATAACTGCTATGGAAAACAGTATGCCAGTTCCTCAAAAAATTCAAGACAGAACTACCATATGATCTAACAATCCCACTTCTTATGGTTAATTTTATATGTCAGCTACACTGTGCTATGGAGTACTCAGATATCTGGTTAAATATTTCTAGATGTGTCCATGAGGATGTTTCTGGATGAAATTAACATTTGAATTGATAAACTGAGTAAATCAGATTGCCATTTGCAACGTGTGTGGGCCTCATGCATTCTATGAAGGCCAGAATAGAATAAGAAGCTGACCAAAAAAGAATTTCTTCTTTCTTCCTGTCTTTGAGCTGACACGTTGGTCTTCTCCTGCCTTTAGATTGAAATTTATGCCACTGGGTCTCCTGGGTCTGAAGCCTTGAAACTTAGACCATAACCATACCATCATCTCTCCTGGGTCTCCAGATTGTCGACTTTAGATCTTCAGCTTCTCAGCCTCCATAGCACATAAGCCAATTCCTTATATTAACTGGATAACCTAGATTAGTACAGTATATAACCAAAGGTACTGAACACAGGATCTCAAAGAGATATTTGCACACTGATTTCATAGCAGTACTATTTTCAATAACCAAGAGTCGGAGGCAACCCAAATATCCATCAATGAAAGAATGAGATAAGCAAAATGAGGTCTATTCATAATAAAATATTATTCCACTCTAAAAAAATGAAGTACTGATATATGCTATAACATGGATGAACTTTAAAAACATTAGGCTAAGTGAAAGAAGCGAGACACAAAAGGTCACATATTGTTTGATCTGATTTATACGAAACACCCAGAAAAGGTAAGTCTATGGAAATGGAGAACAGACTAGTGGTTGCCAGGAGCTGGGCAAGGGAGAAATAGGGAGTAACTGCTTAAAGGACATGTGGTTTCCTTTAGGGTTGATGAAAATAACTTGGCACTAGCTGGAAGTGATAGCTGCACAGCAATGTTAACGTGCTAAATGCCACTGAATTATACACTTAAAATGGTGAATGGTTAATTTTATGTTACACGAATTTTACATCATTATAAAAATTTGACCCAAAAAGTATGATTTGAATACTCTTGATTTACAATAATTTATTATTAAATCCTTACATATGGGTCTTCCAGGTTAAGGTTGAGTTCCAGATAATAAATTTAGTAAAATGGCCCTACAACTGTAAATATGCTGCATTTCAAATTGCATGCATATGCAATTTTGCAAAATAGATAGGCTTTTAAATGTTTGATAAGCACATTCCAAAAAGGCAAAGTCAGTAAAAAAGTAAAGCTCTCAAAATTAGGATTTGACTACTTTGTTTTCAAAAATATTGCATTAATATTTAACCTAAAATTGTAATTTCTAAATATCATTCGATAAAAAACCAGATTACTAAAATCTGAAATATAATCCAAAGAAGAAAGTGCTAATAAAATTAAACTATTTTTTCTGTGTTTTTTGAGACAAAATTAAACTATTTTTTCTTCCCAATTATCTCCTATAGAAAACTCTTTTCTCCAAGATTATTTACACAAAAGACTGAGAAAACAAGATTATACACACACACACACACACACACGGGTGCATGCACACAGTTTACAGTAAACTACACTGACTCTCCACTTGGTCAAAACAATAGTCTGTTCTTGGAATTATTCTGTCTCTAATCTTAATCATTCATTGAACTTTCTCAGTTACATGTCCTATAAGGTTATAACCATCATATTCTACTCTAAGGGTGCCAAGTTAGTAAACAGGGGTGGCAATGAGATTCACAGTATGGTCCAAAGAGATTTGATACGGTCTAATTGGACATAGGTATTTGTTTTGCCCTCTTTTTCTCTCTTGCCAGAAAATGTTCAAATTAACTCTCATGGCCTGCCAAAACACTACTTTATTAATGACTTGGTAGAGCAATATACTTTCCTCATTGAAAGTTTGTAGAGCGGTATACTCCTTGCTGTCAGTGAAACATTCAAATAGAAAGTCCAATGAATTAAATAATAGATGTGATAGTTTTATTAACATTTAACTTTGTCAAAAGGATCATTGAGAAGACAGTCTTTTTTCTTGCAAACAGAAAAGCGGTAGAAAGACTAAACACGACTTTTTATTATTTCTCCTTATATTTCTCCAGCATTGGAATCCTGATCTACTTAGTAATGCTTTCTCAAAACACTAGCTACCGTTTATGTTGGTAGAACCAGAAAAATGCCCTAATGTGTCCATAGAAAAGAATTAATTTTGGCCAGGCGCCGTGGCTCACGCCTGTAATCCCAGTGCTTTGGGAGGCTGAGGCTGGCGGATCACGACGAGGTCAGGAGATGGAGACCATCCTGGCTAACACGGTGAAACCCTGTCTCTACTAAAAATACAAAAAATTAGCCGGGTGTGGTGGCAGCGCCTGTAGTCCCAGCTACTCCGGAGGCTGAGGCAGGAGAATGGCGTGAACCCTGGAGGCGGAGCTTGCAGTGAGCCGAGATCGCGCCACTACACTCCAGCCTGGGCGACAGAGAGACACTCCGTCTCAAAAAACAAACAAACAACAACAACAACAATAAAAAAAGAATTGAGCACTTTATGAAATACTTTTTATATTATACTATTTCTTCCTTTGAGAAATACCATTATTAGTGCACAACCGATCACCATAGCTTAAAATCAGATTACAAAATACAAGGAAAATACTTACAATAGGAAAGTTCACCCCTAAGCATTTCTTTATGACACTTTTAGCCATATGAACTCACCACTATTTATTAGAATGCAATATCTCAAAATAGAATATGGTATAAAACTGATTTTTTCAAATAAATACATAATAAAAATTATTAAAATATATAATTTATAAAATCTAAATGTTTACTGATACATGTTGTATTTAATGTTAATATATCCAAAAAGTTTAGGCTCAAACTTCATAATAGTGACCCTTTTTTCTCAGCTTCCCCCCCCAAAAAAATTATTAACCTTTGTGTATTTCTCTACTTTGTTCACAGATACAAAGGCCAGCCAGATGGAGCTGGTCAATGTTCCCAGATCTTAAGTGCAGTGACTCAAATCTAATAAAAAGGCATTTGGAATACAGCATTGATAAAGTTGTATGACTGTACAGGGAAACATTCTGCTTGTAGCCATGAGATATGAACTTCTGTTTACTACTTCTTCTAATAGTTACTAGAAATATGAGAGCCAATAGACCCTTTATTTTTATTTCACCCTTTCCTCTGAGTTGTATTAAATGACATTTCGAATGTCAAATGAATCTGATATCTACAGTCAAACATAACAGCATCAATGGTAAATGTGGCCAAGGAGTCAGATATGTCAATTCTGCGTGAATTAATCTGTTTGTGCAAATGATACTTATCATTACCTATGATCAGCACTTTTAGCTTTATCATATCATAATTTACCCAATATGTATAGGTGTCAACATGTGTGAAGATAGGCACCAGATAAGCAAGACTCATTAAGATGTTGCCATAGATTAATCCTACAGAGTAGAAGCATTTGGCTGCTCTGATTTTTAAGATCCCTGCTTTAGAGCCTAGAAAATATCATGAAAATGAATTAATCATTTTTCTTTTCAGTATCGTCAACAACCTCTAGTATTGGAGATGTTATAGGAAATGACTACCTGCTTGTAATTCCATTTTTAGTCAAAACTAATACAGAAGTATTTGCTAGATTTGGAAATACCCAAATGTAAGTCAGTGGCCTAATCTCTAACGGGTTTAATAGCCTATTTTAGATGAGATCTTTTCCAGTAAGTGTTGTCTTCCAGATTTTCATGTCCTCTCGCTAATGTTTTCCAAGGTGGAATTTGGGCATATGAGGGCTCATGTAAATTCATGGCATTGGGTGGGTGGAGAGAGTTTCTTGGGACATATGAGTATCTGTGTTGGTCTCCACTGGTCAGGTCCTTCAGTCCTTAGATCCTTAGATGACATCACTAAGGTATAGTTAATCTATACTTAATCACAGGTGTTTTTTTTAACACCACTTCCAAAGTCTGTGGTTGCTACGTCCCACTGGCCATTCAGTTGGCATAGGCCATATTCCCAGAAACAAGTACATCGCCCTTTGCTGATGGGTGCCACATCATTTCTGCTGATGCTATAGGCACTCCAAACTCTGATTGTAAGGCCTACCTGATTGCTGGCATTGAGTAGCATTGCTGCCCTTGACTACAGACTCAATTAACTTCCTGATCATTTCCTCTGTTAATTTGTACCCAGATTCTCAGCTAATATATGTGTTGTCTTGAAAGACATGTGAAAAACTCTGTGCCAGAGGGAAAAGAAGAGCTCTGGATGGTCTCACTCTGGTAATCAAATGCTTCCACTTCCACTCACAAGTCATTGGGCAGAATTAGTTACATAGTTCCACCCTACCTCAAGTGGACAGGAATTACAATCATGCTGTGTACCTGAAAGGGAAAAGAACTGGAAACATTTGTTGAACAGGCTGCCACAAGTACCCTGCCAAGTGATCTCCCTTCAAAAACTCAAGTAGGAAGCTAAATTAAAGTCATCATCTCTTCTTCACTTGTTCCTCAGTGTAACTAAGAAGACTTGACTTCTGGGACTTTAGCTCTGATAGAGGAGTTTAGATATGTGTCTCACCTCCTGAACTTTCTGCCTTCATCCCCTTTTCATTCTCATAATCTGTCATGACCAGAAAAAGGGGACGCCTTTTCTGGGCTGATGTGGAACTACATGGCCTCTTATTCTCCTCTTTTTGGATTGGTATTGCAATAAGGTAAAATGATGGCTAGGGAACATGATTTACTAAGAAGAAGAATATTAAACATATTTACTATTTTCAAATATGATCCTGTTACATCTGAGTTTATACTCCATACAGCATTTTATGTACAATATTTCCTACAATATTGTCACAAACATTACAAACCTAACAATAAGCTTTTATTCACTTTGTTTAACTTATTATTTGCTGATGATGCTTTACTCACTCCCTCTGGGAAGGTCTGCCTTCTTTCCCAATCGTATGTGGACATCTTTACAAGGCAATTCGAGTTCTTAAATGTTTGTATATCAAATTCTGTTTCTTTTGAAAATAATTTTATGTCTTAGGTGATATGTGAATAGATTTATAAAGTTATTAATTCAATAGCCCATAATGAACCTTTGGGACATACACCATGACATATTTGTTCAACAATTTTAAATTATTTCTTAATATTATAGATTATCGTGATGAAGCATATTAATCCTACAGTCTTTTCATCTCCCTGTAGTCTTCAATTCAGCATTAATGGAGAGATTTTCAAGCACCACAGGACTTGATGCAGCTAACTTGAAGATAAGCTTTTGGGGAGTTTCCTGTTATCTTTGCACAGTGGCCTTTGTGAGTAGGCCCTTTCCATGTTGTTAGATTCTCTCTAAGAAACACATGTATTAGAAACACTATAACTGTCTCTACTATGAAGATCTAATGCCACTCCTTTGCTCATAATGTATGTGCTCAACTAAAAATGTTTCTTTGACAATGCACTAAGATTCTTCTAAAGCCTATAGAACATATTATCATTGCATCTATGTAAGAATACCATTCAAAGGAGCAATGAAACAAAAAGTTGATTCTTTGAAAAGAGAAACAAAATTGATAAACTGCTAGCAACCAAGAAAAGAGAAGAGACAAAATCAGAAATGAAAAGAAGACTTACAAGTGATACCACAGAAAACCAAAATTTCATCTGTGACTATTATGAACAACTACATGCTCACAAACCAAAAAAATCCCGAGGAAATGGCTAAATTCCTGGAAACATACAACCTCCTAAGATTGAAGAAGGAAGAAACTGAAAACCTGAATAGACCAATAATGAGTAGCAGGATTGAATCAGTAATAAATACATTTCCCATGAAAAAAAAAAGTCCAGGACCTGATGGATTCATAGCTGAATTCCATAAAATGAACAAAGAAGAACTAATACCAATCTTCCTGAAACTGTTCCAAATAATCTGGGAGGAGGGACTTCTTCATTCCTCATGTAACAAGGCCAGTATCACTCTGATACTAAAACCAGACAAAGACAAAACAAAACAAAAAAAGAAAACTACATGCCAATATCTCTGATAAACATAGACGCAAATATCCTCAACAAAATACTAGCAAATGGAATTCAAGAGCACATCAAAAAGGTAATACACCATGATCAAGTGGGTTGTACATAAGGAATGGAAGGATAGTTCAACATATGCAAATTAATAAATGTGATACATCACGAAAATAGAATGAAGGATTAAAAACCTCAATAGATGCAGAAAAATCACTTGACATCCTTTTCAATAAACGGTGCTGGGAAATTAGATAGCCATATGCAGGAAAATAAAACAGAACCTGAGAGGTGAAGCCAGCTGGACTTCCTGGGTCGAGTGAGGATTTGGAGAACTTTTCTGTCTTAAAAGAGGATCGTAAATCAGCGCTCTGTAGCTAGCAAGAGGATTGTAAAATGCACCAATCAACGCTCTGTAAAATGCACCAATCAGTGCTCTGTAAAACGCACCAATCAGCAGTAGCTAAAAGTAGCCAATCACAGGGAGGATTGAAAAAAGGGCACTCTGATAGGACAAAAACCAAACATGGGCAGGGACAAATAAGGGAATAAAAGCTGGCCACCTCAGCTGGCAGTGGCAATCTGCTTGGGTTACCTTCTATGCGTGGAAGCTGTGTTCTTTCGCTTTTCACAGTGAATCTTGCTGCTGCTCACTCTTTGGGTCCGTGCCACCTTTAAAAGCTGTAACACTCACCGTGAAAGTCTGTGACTTCATTCTTGAAGTCAGTGAGACCACCAACCCACTGGCAGGAACCAAATCTGGACACAGACCCTTATCTCTCACCATATGCAAAAATCAACTTAAGATGTATTAAAGACTTAAATGTAAGACCCAAAGCTATCAAAATACTAAAAACCTTGAGAAAATTCTTCTGGACATTGGTCTAGGCAAAGAATTTATGACTTAAGACCTAAAAGGACAGGGAATAAAACCAAAATTAGACAAATGGGACAATTAAACTAAAAAGCTTCTGCACAGCAAAAGAAATAACCAGGTGTGTAAACAGGCAATAAGAGAATAGGAGAAAATATTTGAAAACTATTTATCCCATAGGGGACTAATATCCAGAATATAGAAGAAGCTCAAACGACTCCCTCAACAAACAACAACAACAAAAAGCGCAAACAAGGCCAGGCATGGTGGCTCACGTTTATAATCCCAGCACTTTCAGAGGCCAGGACGACTGGACCACTTAAGGAGTTTGAGACCCGCCTGGCCAACATAGCGATAGCCCGTCTCTACTAAAACTACAAAAATTAGCCGGGCATGGTGGTGGGAACATGTAATCCCAGCTATTCGGGAGGCTGAGAGGCAAGAATCCCTTGAATCTGGGAGGTGAAGGTTGCAGTGAGCCAAAGTTGCACCATTGCACTCCACATTGCACTCCAGCCTTCGCGACAGAGGGCAACTCTGTCTAAAAAAAAAATTAAAAAAAAAAAGACAAAGAACAAATAATGTTCTTTAAAAGTGGTCAAAGGATATAAATAGACATTTTTCAAAAGAAGACACACAAATGGCCAGCATGGGCATATAAAAAAAATGCTCAACACTAATCATCAGAGAAATGTAAATTAAAACCATAATAAGATATCATCTTCATTAAAATGGCTATTATTAAAAAGATAAAATGTCTCATCTGCTATGTTGGTGAGGATATGGAGAAAAAGGAATGTTTATATGCTGTTGATGGGAATGTAAATTAGTACAACCTTTATTGAAAATAGAGATTTCCCAAAGAACTAAAACTAGAACGACTGTTCGATCCCACAACCTCACTACTGGGTATCTACTCAAAGGAAAATAAATCAATATATCAAAGAGGTACCTGCACTCATGTTTCTTGCAGCACTATTCACAATAGAAAAGATATAGAATCAACCTAAGGGACCACCAGTGGATGACTGGATAAAGAACATGTGGTATATATACCTGATAGAATTCTATTCAGCCACAAAAAGAATGAAATCACGTATTTTGCAGCAACATGGTTGGAACTGGAGGTCATTATCTTAAGCGAAATAAGCCAGATATAGAAAAATATCGCTCATAAGTGAGTGCTAAAAAAAGTGTCTGCCTGGATGTAGACAGTGGAATGATAGGCAGTGGGGACTCAGAATTGTGGGGGGATGATGAGAAATTACTAATGGGTACAATCTACAGCATTTGGGTGATGGATACCCTAAAAGCTCTGCCTTGACCACTATGTATGTAACAAAATTGCACTTGTTACCCATAAATTCATACAAATTAAAAAATATATAAGACAAATGTAACCATGCTTTCTTCAAAAAAACAAAAACGAGGTAATCCCCATTGTAGTCCCAAAGATGGGAGGAGAGAGGCTCATCCAAGAAGGCCAGAGAGGGCTGGATGTACCCTGCTTCCAAATCTGCTGTCTCTCCCACACCCCTTACAACAGACCCTTTGCTCTCCCTTCTACCTCCCCGTTCTCAGAGGCTTCCCTTTCTCTATTTCTCATCTGTCCCCTAAAAAGGAAGGCAGAAGATTCCAATTCCTTGTACCCTTAGGTACTTGGAGCAGAATGAAGTAAATTTAGTGAATCATTTGCAACTCTGTACTTCTTGGGTGCACTTCAAATATCAACAAGAACATTTATTCTGTGGAATAGACTGGTTTAATTTCGGCCTTTTACCTCAACTTTCAGCCGTCTGAAATTGTGTAGACTTTTCCAAACTGTGTTCATGTGCCACCCTGACCTACTGCCTATCCCTGCAATTGGATGGGCCTTAAGAACCCAGCTCCAGGCCAGGCGTGGTGGCTCATGCCTGTAATCCCAGCACTTTGGGAGGCAGAGACAGGTGGATCACCTGTGGTCAGGAGTTCCAGACCAGCCTGGCCAACACAGTGAAACCCCCTCTCTACTAAAAATGCAAAAACGAGCTGGGTGTGCTGGCAGGCAGGCACCTGTAATCCCAGCTAGTCAGGAGGCTGAGGCAGGAGAATCGCTTCAACCCAGGAGGCAGAGGTTGCAGTGAGCGGAGATCATACCACTGCACTCCAGCCTGGACAACAGAGCAAGACTCCATCTCAGAAAAAAAGAACCCAGCTCCAGACACTGCTCCCTGATGAACCCAGCTCCAGACACTGCTCCCTGATGTCTATGCATCCAAGAGGTGCCTTCTTCCCAGCAGCTATCACTCTAGTGGAACAAAGCACCAGGTTTCTTCTCTAATTACTTCTATCAGTAAATAATTTCCAGGCACCTAAGAGTTTAGATTTAGCCATGTCTTTGAGGACTGTAATTTTTCCCTAATTTGTGCTTTCTGTAATAATAATTAGGGATTTATTGCTTATATTAAAAACTCATCAGAACTCTAATTGAAAAGGTTAACTACTTCTCATGAGTTCAAGTTGGGAATTACTATTCAAATTCACTGACAACTTAAAATGTAAGATAATTTTCTTTCCTACCGTGCAGGTCCTTCATGTGATAAGGATTTTACTTTTGCCAAACAGAAGTTCCTAGAACATCCTGGGAATATGGCATTTTAGAAGAAAAACAATAAGCAATTACTTAAAGCGAATTTAACATTCAGAACAAAACAGTGTTTCATTTGATTGATACATATTTTGTTTTTACCTTGAAGAACGTACCACAAAAGAAGGGTCACAGCAATGAGATATAACTTCACTTAACTTTTCAAACTGATACTGTCCAAATATTTAATAATATTCTGTTGATTAACACAGTGCTTTTAAAACTATGGATAGGAAAAGCATATTTCTTGTAGTTATATGTCTTGGAATAATATATAAATCACACATCAGCCTTAAATATTACTGCTTAGCAGAAGACAATCATAAAAAGAATTTTATCAATTTAAATTAGAATACTAAATAATCCAGTAAAGCTAGCATTTGCAGAACACTTGGTGTGTTACACATAAATATTCAATTAATTCACAGAAAAATCACAAGAGATTGTCAGTTGCATAATGTCACTTTGCTAGTTAAGGTGGTACAGAGATTTAAACCCAAGCCCAGATGCACAACCACATCAGCATAGAGACAGATGTTATTGCATGTTGGCAGATGAAATTGTGAAAGTGAAATTCCCATGGTTCCAAATCAGAAATTGCTGCCTTAGGGCGTGGGGAGGAGGTGACAGTCATTTAGACGGCTGGTGGGAAAATTTTAAAAATAACACAAGAGGGATAATTGGCAATGTCATACAAATAAATAAATGACAACTTTTCTGAGTGGAAGAAGGCAATCCACAAGGAGGCTGGTGGGTTACTATAAGTCCACTTTCATATTCATTATTTTCTTTTCTTCTTCTTCTTCTTCTTTTTTTTTTTTTTTTTTTGAGATGGAGTCTTGCTTGTCACCCAGGCTGGAGTACAGTGGTGCGATCTTGGCTCCCTGCAACCTCCACTTCCCCGGTTCAAGCGATTCTCTTGCTTCAGCCTCCTGAGTAGCTGGGACTACAGGCGCCTGCCACCACGCCCGGCTATTTTTGTATTTTTTTTTTTAGTTTCACCATATTGGCCAGGCTGGTCTCGAACTCCTGACCTTGTGATCCGCCTGCTTTGGCCTCCCAAAGTGCTGGGATTACAGGCATGAGCCACCAAGACCGGCCATATTCATTCTTTTCTAAATGGTGATTCTTATGAGAAATACTCATATCCCCCACTAAATGGAGATGTTAATTGTATCAATTTTTATAACAGTGAAATAGTACAGGTCCAGTTCTCCAGCAATAGGTGGCTGACTAAGCAAATAATAGTGCCTCCATGCCCCAGAATAACAAGCAGCCATGAAAAAATAAGGTCATATTTACTGATAACGTTAATATATATTGCCTTTTAAAAAGGCAAGATACAGAATAGTGTGCATATTGTGCTCTGTGAATAAAAAGTTACTACAATAGGTTTGTTTTACTCAGCTCTTTTTAATCTCTGGGAAAGCTTGGAGCCACAGAACTAACGTCAGGAATGTTCGTTTGGTCAGTGATTAAGATTGTATTCTCTATGGCCCAGGCAGTGGGTCAGGATGTACCAGGCTGACAGCATTGTTTAAACATGAAAATTCATGAAGTGTACCTGGTGCCTGTTTGGCATCTGCAACTTGGCTGGTTGGGTAGCTGTGTGATCAGCAGCCTTTAAGAACTCTGGATTCTGAGATTTGAGTGGACTTTTTTTGTTGTTTGTTTGAGACAGAGTTTCGCTCTGGTCGCCCAGGCTGGAGAGCAATGGCGTGATCTCGGCTCACTGCAAGCTCAGCCTCCTGAATTCAAGCAATTCTCCTGCCTCAGCCTCCCTAGTAGCTGGGATTACAGGTGCCTGTCATCACGCCCGGCTAATTTTTTGTATGTTTAGAAGAGACGGGATTTCGCCATGTTGGGCAGGCTGGTCACTAATGAGCGGACTTTCTGAGGTGGAGATGCCTGCCACACATCTCCGCAGTTTGCAGCCAGAAAGGGCGTGTCTGCACAATTCCCGCGAGAGAGGGAACGTGGAAACCTGGGCCTGACCTCTCTAGTCTTTGCTTATGCATGCCTGTGTCTCACAGTTCCTGCACAGTATCCTTTGCAGTAATATATCTTAGCTGTAAGCATAACTTTTTGACTTATATGAGTCCTTCCGGTGAATCACTGAGCAAATCATGACCATGATGTAGTCGTGGGAACCCCAAAATATGTTCTCAGTTGAAATTTCCAAAAAAGATTTATACATATACATGCATATAAAGGTACAGGATTATTTCTGGAAGGATCTTCAAGAAATTAGTGTTCCCTGATCCCCAAGTGAGAGAGCCAGTGGTGTGAAGTGAATGACTTTTTTTTTACTCCATATATGTGTTTCTTTTCATTGATATGAGATAATTTAAAGTATATTTGTAAAAAATATATAGTAGTTATACTCAATGCTTTGCCATGACCATGGAGTTGTTGTCTTGAGGTAAGATGTGAAGGATCTTTAAGTTGCAGTGGAGAATAGGAGAGAGTAGAAAGCCATGAGTGTGCTACTGGGGCTTCCCTGAACCTGCAGGTGAGAGCCAGACTCTTCTGACCTTTTGGATGAGATCAAGAAGGCAGGCAGAAACAGGAAAAGGGTCTCTGATAGAACAGCATGTGTGGGAAAGCATCTATACAGTGGGTTTATAAGAAAGATAACAGGAATCCCTCATACATTGTATGATGTTTATAACCTTGTAACATTTATTAATGGTATAAATATAAATATAACAATTTTAGTTTTGCACCTTTGTTTTGCTAGTAACTGACAAGGAACCCACAGTTGTTCATTTGTTCAATGGTTTTGCAGCACTTGTGACTGTCTGTCACTTTGTTGTGACTCTTCTATGTCATGTGGACAGAGCAGCAGGCCGAGAGCCAGAAGACATGGTACTACTCATGAAGGGGTCTTAACAAGAACATTTCCAACAGCTAGTCACGCAACATGCATGAGATTCTTTTACTTTGGTTGAAAAATGAGGGTTATGGTGGAATCGTGTTGGGCCTGAGTGATCCCTAATTCTCTCCTGCTTTTTAAATTGCATGTTTCTGCTGCAATCTCATAAAGAAGAGGAAATAGCTTCACTTTGCCAACTGAGGAAATAATGGTTCAGGTATTAAGTTCCCACCAAATTCACATTTACAACGGCCACATTTTACAGAATTGCATATTTTAGATTTTTGGTGCCATCCTGATGTTTATCAATACAGAAGGTTGGCAAAGAATAATGTTTCAATGCACTAAAAAAAGAGAATCTGATATGGTTTGAATGAATGGGGTTAAGGTCACTATATCTTATGAATGAACCCAGTGATAGTCTCCATAGTTAGATAGTATTGGATAATTTATTATCTTAAAAAGTATGTGGCTGGGTGCAGTGGCTCAAGCCTGTAATCCCAGCACTTTGGGAGGCTGAGGCGGGCGGATCACGAGGTCAGGAGATCGAGACCATCCTGGCTAACACAGTGAAACCCCGTCTCTACTAAAAATACAAAAAATTAGCCGGGCGTGGTGGCGGGCGTCTGTAGTCCCAGCTACTTGGGAGGCTGAGGCAGGAGAATGGCATGAAGCCAGTAGGCGGAGGTTGCACTGAGCCGAGATCACACCACTGCACTCCAGCCTGGCGACAGAGATAGACTCCATCTAAAAAAAAAAAAAAAAAAATCCTTAAAGATAGTACCATCCTGGCTGGGCGCGGTGGCTCACGCCAGTAATTCCAGCATTTTGGGAGGTCAAGGCAGGCGGATCACGAGGTCAGGAGATCGAGACCATCCTGGATAACGCGGTGAAACCCCGTCTCTACTAAAAATACAAAAAAAAAAAAAAATTAGCCAGGCGTGGTGGTGGGCGTCTGTAGTCCCTACTACTCGGGAGGCTGAGGCAGGAGAATGGCGAGAACCCGGGAGGCGGAGCTTGCAGTGAGCCTAGATTGCACCACTGCACTCCAGCCTGGGCGACAGAGCGAGACTCCATCTCAAAAAAAAAAAAAAAAGATGGTACCATCCTAGGTCATGAGAAGTTCCAAGTAGGTCCATGGCATGGGTGCTGAAAAGGAGCAACAGTGAAGGTCATTTACACATGAAGGAATTGCAAGTTCCTAGCACTTAAGTGTCATCCACAAGGAAATTGAAGATTGAGGAATTGAGAAGATGGTGATGGATGTAAGAAAATGACCCATTTGGAAGATGACACTTGCTAGAAATGGTAGAGGTTGCTGTAATCAGCTGATATTTGTCTAAAAGGATAAGTGAGATTGTCATTTTGTTTGCTTGCTTGCTTTTTTTTTTTTTTTTTTTTTTTTTTTTGAGACTGAGTCTCGCTGCATCGCCCAAGCTGGAGTGCAGTGGCCCGATCTCGGCTCACTGCAAGCTCCGCCTCCCAGGTTCACGCCATTCTCCTGCATCAGCCTCCTGAGTAGCTGGGACTACAGGCGCCCGCCACCAAGCCTGGCTAATATTTTTTTGTATTTTTAGTAGAGACAGGGTTTCACCGTGTTAGCCAGGATGGTCTCAATCTCCTGACCTCATAATCTGCCCGCCTCGGCCTCCCAAAGTGCTGGGATTGCAGGCTTGAGCCACGGCGCCTAGCCTACTTGCTTCTTTTTATGAACACCAGTAACCAGGAATTGATGGAAATTTACCAGAAATGTTTCCTGATGCTATGGTAGACAAACTATGGAAATAATGAGTTCTACAAGGGCATTGCAAATGGTGGTCTAGGCTTCAGTGGAGTTGAGGATGTATAGTCAACCCTTTTTTTGTTGTTTTATTATTTTTTTGTGTGCCAGGTATTAGCCTGTGCATTTTATGGGCATCATCTTATTTAATCTTCACAATGGATACCTTCATTTTACAGTGGAAGATACTGAAGTTCAGAGACATTAAGTGACTTGTTAAGGCTTGTGACTGGTAAATGGTGGAGTCTGCATTAGAAATCCAGACTGTTGCTTCCAAGCCATACTCTCAAACGCTATGCTATACAAGGGCATTCTGTGATGATGTTGAGATAGTCCTTTTTGAAAATGTAATGAGTTCCCAGAGGGCACAGAAGGAAAGAGCTGGAAGGCAGGACCACAGTGAAAGGGTGAGCTAGAAGAATAGAGGTGCTTAGAGTAGAAGAAAAGACAGACTTACTGAGGGGTTTGGGACTTGACAGAGCACCCAAAAATGGCAGAGCAGAGAAATATGGGGGAGGATTATGGGCCTTGAGGTTCAGAGTGGACCCTTGCAGGGATGGGGCTTCAGTCTCCACCCCTGCTCATGCCCTTGCTTCCTGGAAACCTATCATGGGCTTTGCTCAGGTTACCCCAGGACTCCAGAAGTTTTATGCTTCTTGGAGTCTGTCTTCTGAGTAGGAGTGGGAATGTAGATGTGGCAAAGCTGTTCTCACTCCAGTTTGGATGCCAGGTGGTAAGAAGTTTAATTTTTCTACAAAGTTTATGCCCTTGATTTATGAAGGGGTATTGATGTTTCTCAAACTAAGGAACCCAAACCTTTTTTACGTGGTGTAAGGACATTACATGCTGAAAACTTGATTTTTGCTTTGGTTCCACTATTAATTTGCTGGGTGACTTTCGGCAGGTCACAGCTTCTTTGAGTACCTGGTTTCCTTTTTTTAAGCTCAGAAATTCAGCTGCGTGATCTTTAAGATTTCATATGCTCGCCAGGCGCAGTGGCTCACGCCTGTAATCCCAGCACTTTGGGAGGCCGAGGTGGGTGGATCACGAGGTCAGGAGATCGAGACCATCCTGGCTAACATGGTGAAACCCCGTCTCTACTAAAAATACAAAAAATTAGCTGGGCGTGGTGGCAGGCACCTGTAGTCCCAGCTACTTAGGAGGCAGGAGAATGGTGTGAACCCGGGAGGCAGAGCTTGCAGTGAGTCGGGATTGCGCCACTGCACTCCAGCCTGGGCGACAGAGCAAGACTCCATCTCAAACAAACAAACAAACAAACAAACAAAATATGTAATATGCTCTGAAGTTTTGCCGACATGAACTTTCTTCCTTCACAACCTGTACCCCAGCCCTAGGCATCATTGTTCCTGTTCTGTACCACTGCATAGAACAAGCTGCCTCCTAATTTAGTGAATGAACACACTGCATTGATTTCATGGCAGGGGATGGTGATGTTGATTACTCCAGATTAGTTCTCACTTGTGACTCCTCAGATGGCAGACAAGGCTGAAGCTGTCAGAAAGCTTCTGCACCTCTATACCTGGCACCTGGAATGCTATGGATTGAAGAGCTAGGAGCTGGTCAGGTAACTTGGTCTCCACACAGCCTCTCCATGTGACAAGCTTGAGGTTCCTCACAGTATGACAGTCTTGGGCTAGTCAGAGTTTTTGTAGAGAGCTTGGCTTTCCCCAGATTCCCCTGCATTCCACGAGACCCAGGCAAAAGCTAAAAAGCTTCTTATGTCCTAATCTTGGAATCTGCAAATGCAGATTCATGGGGGCACAGAAATAGATACCACCTCTCAATGGGCGAATGACCTGATAGAAAAGAAGGGAAGAAAGGAGCGGCCACTTTGCAGGCAAGTTCATAGTCATTCTGTCTTAATAAACCTCATCCCAGGTTGCTAATTCCAAACAAATTTCCCAGACCTAAACATACAAAGAGGAAGGAGAAAGCAATTTACCATTCATAAATAGATTGAAATTAACATTAATACTTACATCTTCATTTTATTCCATGCCCGAAGGTAGAATAATTTAATAATGTTAATTATTTTTTCCAGTCATGACTTGCTGAGCCAATTAATTTTTTTCATTTATTTTCTCATTTATTCTTTCTTCAGGGTTTGAATTGGCTTTGTTTTCTGCTTTTTCATATCTTGATTTTAGCCATATTCAATCCAATTACAGTTTTCTTTCAGTTTTTACTTTCTTTTTATTGTCAACACTTTGCTTCTTTGTATATTGAATTTCCCACCCTTAATGCAAGGATGTCTAGTC
The DNA here is from genome assembly GCF_000001405.40 of Homo sapiens. NCBI lineage: Eukaryota > Metazoa > Chordata > Mammalia > Primates > Hominidae > Homo > Homo sapiens. The sequence continues at coordinate 39,519,000 of NC_000009.12, forward strand.
AGTAGCTGCTAGAGGTGTAACTACTGATTTATTTTTTCTTCTGTATGGAGCCAGTGTCAAGCTAGTCTAGTAGTCAGTCTCCTAAGAAACTTTATTATCTCTTTCAGCTTCACTGGCTGTATTCGCTGGGAAGCAGTTTAACGACACTGGCTGATCTTAACAGGTTGCTATAACCACTTGAAGGCACAATAAATGTGGGAGGAAAATGTTCTTTTTCTTCTCTCTTGGTGGAAAAATAGATGTATAATTTTCTAGCTTTCTTTTCTCCATTTGGGTTAATGATATGAAGAAGATTTCTGCTAGTTTAAGTGTAATTAAAAGAGAGAGATTGGTAACCTCTGGATAACGGTGGGCATTTTGAGGATTGCACTGTGTAGAGCTGATGATGAAAGAGCTTCTCTAGCTAATATGTGCTCAAACACACAGTGACAAGAACTAGAATGACAAAATCCAGGCTGTATGCTTCTGAATGGTATGGATGACGAGTGGATTTTTCACCACCTGGTATGAACATGGGATGTTAGGTGGAGACAGACAGCAGATACCTTTGGGTATCTGGGAAACTTATACCTCCTGCTGTGATGGCGATGAAGCACTCAGGCCTTTTGTGTTATAGAATTGGGATTTGTGGTAGGCAGGATTCTAAAGATGGCGCTCCCAAGGCGATATCCCATCCACCTGGCATACAAACCCTGCCTAACCCCGGGAACCATGAATATAATGTGTTTGACTCCTGTAATTAGGTCATTTGTATGGCACAATTGTCACTAAGATAGGGATATTATTTGAGTGCATTGACTTAATCAGAGGTGCACCTGACTTAATCAGAACTTTGAAGAAGTCGGAGAGGTGAGAAGCCTGAGAGAGTTGATGATGCGAGAGTTTCTCTGCTGCTGAGATGCAAGGCCGCGTGGGGAGGCCTTGAGAGGAATCTCTGGAAGCTGAGAGGGGTCTGCAGCTGGCAGCTAGGAAGATGGTGCATACTGAGTCATACAATCACAAGGAAACAAATTCTGCTGATAACCTGAGGGGTCTTGGAAGCAGCTCTTTCCCTGGCTGAGCCTCCAAGATGAGAATGTATCCAGGCAACATCTTGATTCCAACCTCACGAGACCCCAAGCAGACTCCCATGGATCGGGAGACATATGACATAATAAATGCATATCATTTTAAGCCAGTGAGTCTGTGGCAAAATTTGCAGCAACAGAAAATAAACACAGCAACCACCCCATTTATGAAAATGCACCTTAGAATTTAATTTTCATAATTTCATAGAGATTCTGCGAATGTTTTTGTATTATGAAAGTGATTCAGCTGTTCTCACTCCAGTTTGGAGACTTTAGGGGAGAATTCCTATACTGTAACTTATGTTTCGAAATATTCTGATGGGCACGTTTGAGCTCTGTAAGTTCTTCCTGCCTTATTTCCAGCTGTGTTTCACAGTGATTGCACAGACTTCGGTCCCTGCAGGATTGGCCTTACTATTGCAGAAAGAAAAACACCAGATTCAAAAACTGTCACATGACAATGATAACAAGGTGCCTTCGAGATGCAATGTGGTCAGGAGTCTCACGTATAAAAAGGATCCATTCATTGACTCTTTATAATTGGAGATTCTTCTACAAAATGCTTCAGTTTTCTCCCACTGATGAGTGGTGTCTGTTTCTCTGGAGAGTGCTTGGAGAAAGACAATGTGGAGTACTGTGGAATATTGATGGATGTTGTACGTTTATAGCTAAAGCAACCTTCCCTCATGCCACCAGCATCAGGCAGTTCATATCATAAGACCAAGCACAGAACTTATTTTTTCTTCATGTTTTCTCCCAACACCGAGGCTTTTTCTTCTGCTATGCTCCTCTGTCACCTAGCTCTGCAACTTCCCCAACTTCTTGCACCCTCTTAGTCCCTGTTCTCTCTATGACCCCACCTCATCGCTTCTCCACAATAACTTCCTCATACAATTTTCATGAGGGTAACCTAGAAGAGTGACAGGTACCCAAAGCATATACTTTATGCTGAGCATTTGATGTCATCCAATGTCCTTTCCAAAAGGAACCATTTCTGCTAGGTTGGTATTCTCCAAAGCCCAAAAGTCCTTAGAAGTGCTCCATAGTGCCTGGGCATGGTGGCTCATGCCTGTAATTGCAGCACTTTGGGAGGCCGAGGTGGGCAGATCACTTGAGGTCAGGAGTTCAAGACCAGCCTGGCCAACACAGTGAAACACCATCTCTGCTAAAAGTATGAAAATTGGCCGGGCGCGATGGCTCACGCCTGTAATCCCAGCACTATGGGAGGCCGAGGCAGGTGGATCACGAGGTCAGGAGATTGAGACCATCCTGGCTAACATGGTGAAACCCCGTCTCTACTAAAAATACAAAAAAAAATTAGCCGGGCATGGTGACAGGCATCTGTAGTCCCAGCTACTCGGGAGGCTGAGGCAGGAGAATGGTGTGAACCGGGGAGGCAGAGCTTGCAGAGACCCGAGATCATGCCACTGCACTCCAGCCTGGGTGACAGAGCAAGACTCCGTCTCAAAAAAACAAACAAATAAAAAAAACAACGAAAATTAGCTGGGTGTGGTGGCACATGCCTGTAATCCCAGCTACTCAGGAGGCTGAGGCACGAGAATCGCTTGAACCCAGGAGGTGGAGGTTGCAGTGAGCCGAGGTTGCACCACTGCACTCCAGCCTGGGTGACAGAGCAAAACTCAACCGCAACAAAAAAAGAAGTGCTCCATAGTGTCCATAGTAGCGGCTGAAGTGAGTTGTGAAGACTGAGCTCTTATGGAGCAGCCTCTCAGGCCCTCAGGCCCCATGAGCCCAAATCTCTTTCTGGGAGATTCGAAGAGATGCACAGGTCACTCCATCAGGTAATGGGGCAGGTCCAATAAACTGTAACCTCATGCAACCAGCAATGCCTGAGAAGTGGGTTCTGAAAGGGCTCAGCAATCTCATGTAGCCTCTCCAGGACTCTCTCACCTTCCTTCACAGTAAGTCCTTTGTGAGTCAGGCTCATATAAGGAGAATGTGACTTTCCTTACCTCAGCTCTTCACACCTATGGACATCTTTAATTGTTACTGCAAATTGACCACAACTTTGTTGTAACTGTAGCAATTTGCAAAAGAAGTGTATGTGTGTTGGGTGATGGGTGGGTGACGGGCACCTGGTTTTGCACCAGGAAATAAAATAATTTGCAATTTCAGGTCTTTAAAGAATGTTGAGTCTATGATAGTCCGACTGACGCACAGACGTTAGCCCAGAAAGACTGTGGCAGACCTCTGATTTACAGAGCTGTAAGATGGAGTGTTTCCTGGCCTCCTTCGCCACACGTTCTTTCCTCCCTTTTCTGAACTTCCCAGCATGAGGTTTGCCTACATGCCTATGTCAGGCACTGAGTTGTGACAATCCTGAAAGTGAGGTCCCTGTCTCTCTATGCCTAGTATGCTATCTCACCAAAGTCAGTCTTTCGAAAGTATGTGAGGATTTATTGCATTCCAGTTAAAAGCAGCTGCCTCATTATATGAAATCTTTTTAATTTATTCTTTGTTTGTTTGTTTGTTTGTTTATTGAGACAGAGTCTCGCTGTGTTGCCCAGGCTGGAGTGCAGTGGCACAATCTCGGCTCACTGCAACTTCCGCCTCCCATGTTCAAGCGATTCACCTGCTTTGGTCTCCCAAGTAGCTGAGACTACAGGCGTGCCCCACTATGCCCAGCTAATTTTTTGTATTTTTAGTAGAGATGGGGTGTTACAATGTTGGCCAGGATGGTCTCAAACTCCTGACCTCAGGTGATCCGCCCACCTCAGCCTCCCAAAGTGCTGGGATCACAGGCGTGAGCCACTGAGCCGGGCCCCATTATACCAAATCTTAAAACAGATAATTCCCTGTGTATAGAGCATATTGCAGCTATGCTCAGGGGAGATGATATTCCTAGCACTAAATTACCTTTTTTGAACTATTGAGTAAATGTAGTCTCAACAGTGCAATGCTTAAAGACAAACACTATTTTTTATTTCTTGCAAAATAATATTTTATTCACAAAATATCCATTATAAGGCTGAAGAGTTCAATGATATCCATATGGTGAAATATGTAAACAAACAAATCTTTATAGTTGCTAAGAGCTTAGCGATGCATTTACATGCTCTTCCAGCCTATTGGCATTTAACCTGCATTAATCACTTTTGAATAATTAATACTATGATCTCCCATTGTTCATTCAACTCAATAAGGTGAAACTTTAAAAACCACACTGATTAAGATCTTCCAACTTGAAAACCTCTATTCTTTTCTCTATGTTAGTTTGCTAAGAATGTGAGCTACTAGTTTTTAAAGAAATATAGTTCTAGACAGAAATAGAATAGAGATTGCACACATTCATAAATTTGTCTGACTCCTAACAAGAGTACCTTGTCAAGGGTAATATGGCTTATGTGTTAGAAATATAATTTAAAATTAATAAAATACCAATTTTATCACATTATGGTAATGTTTACTGCTTTCCTGAAGTGTTTGAGATTTTCCTGTAGAATGTACTTGGAGCATGTACAGTTACACAATGAAAGTAATAAACTATTAAATCAAAAAAATATTTTAGAAACACTCAGTATATGAACCTCTTGCTCTAGCATAAACTATTTATATGTTTTACATCCGGTGTTAGGACATAGGCATTTTTCTTACAGAAATTCTCAAATAAGGACAAAACATCCCCCTAATATGTAGTAGAATGTTTACTGCAGCACTGTTTGTAATAATAATTTCTAAAAACCTGACAACTCTCTAGAATGTTATCAGTGAGGGATAGAAAAATCATTCTGAATCCTTGCTATCTAGCAGGGTGCAGCTGTGAGAAAGTAGGAGAGAAACCTAGCTACGGCGTGACACGGAGAGATCACCAAGACAGAAATGACATGAGAGAAGAAAGGAAGTCAGATAATAATGCATAAAGTAATATTCCATTGATGCTAGAATGCAGCCAGACAACACAGTGTGTTTAGAGAAATTTACTAGCTAAACTTAGACATTGTTTGAAACTTTTATAAAAATGCATTTGTGGTCTACAAATATGTACATTAGTAAAAATAAAACAGCACTTATTGTGCATGCACACTCAGTGCATCTCTCTGAAGTGAGAACTCATAATTTTCCAGATGAGGAAACTCAGGCACAATGAGGTTAAGGGATTTCACCCAGAGCCCACGTTCAGTGAGCAGGGAGCTTTGTAAGGCTCTGGAGTCTTTGTTCTTAATCATTGTTGCTGTATTATGCTTTGAGTAATGAAAACAAATCAACTCAGGAGTTTTAACCAAAAACATCTGTTAAAGAAAATGAGGAGGCCGGGCACGGTGGCTCACACCAGTAATCCCAACGCTTTGGGAGGCCGAGGCGGACAGATCACAAGGTCGGGAGACTGAGACCATCTTGGCTAACACGGTGAAACCCCGTCTGTACTAAAAATACAAAAAACAAAAAAAAAATTTAGCCAGGTGTGGTGGCACACATCTGTAGCCCCAGCTACTCAGGAGGCCAAGGCAGGAGAATCGCTTGAACCCGGGAGGTGGAGGTTGCAGTGAGCCGAGATCACGCCACTGCACTCCAGCCTGGGTGACAGAGCGAGACTTTGTCTCAGGGGGGAAAGAAAAGAGGAGATTGGATCAGGTGAGGTCTAAGATCTCTTAAGCAATTACATCTTACAGGAGTGTGAGCTTTGGGGTCAGCTGGCTTTGGGTGAGACTCCAGTTTTGATGCTGACACTTGACTGTGGGCAGTTAACTAAGTCCCACTGAGCTGGTTTCGAACCCATAAAATGTAAAGTGTAGGCACTGCTTTATGGGGTTACTGTAGTGAGAGGGGCTGGTCCTGAGGCAACCTGGGGATAGTTCCTAGCAAGTGCTCAGGAATAATATCACTTTCCCCCATGACTCCAAAATCCCAGGATCTTTAGTCTTACCTGAATATGTATGGAGTAAAACATATTCCCAAGTTATGAGATCTCTCTGGAGCTCAGTCTTTCATATCAAACTGCTAACCAGACACCTCCACTTGCATGAGCCACGGACCATTAATACTCAGTCTATTTGTTTGTTTGTTTGTTTGTTTGAGACGGAATCACCCAGGCTGGAGTGCAGTGACACAATCTTGGCTCACTGCAACCTTCGCAACTTCTGTCTCCTGGGTTCTAGCGATTCTCCTGCCTCAGCCTCAGAGTAGCTGGGATTACAGGTGAGGTGCCTCCGTGCCCGGCTAATTTTTGTATTTTTAGTAGAGACGGGGTTTCACCATATTGGCCAGGCTGGTCTCGAACTCCTAACGTCAGGTGATCCACCCCCACGCCCCCTCGGCCTCCCAAAGTGCCCGGATTACAGGCGTGCAATACTCAGTCTGTTTGAAACCAGTATTACCTCCTTTGTTCTCGTCCAAAGCTGTCTTATTCTCTAGCGTCCCCTATCTTGACAGCAACATCCTATCAGTTGCTAAAACACATATTCCAGACTGTTGACGCTCAGTGGCACTCTAAGCCCTGTGGATGCCACATTCTTAATACATTTTGAATGTGCCCACTCTTCTCTGTCTGGATGACTGGCATCTTGCTTAGGGTGCCATCATCCTTGGCATAAGTTTCTGCATCCTATGTACGCCACCTGCCTCAAGTCCTAATCCCTTCATGTTGGAATTACACTGCAGTCAGGGGTATCCTTCCAAAATGTACACCAGATTCTCTGAAAAATAATCTGTCTTGCTCTTAAATGTGCCCCTCAGATACTGTAAGAGCTCCTCCTTGCCTTTGGATTAAATCCCAAATTCTTTATGCCCGAGTTGATCTTCAATGTCATCTCATATTCCATGCCCCTTCCAGACTCGGAAGCAGTTCATGGAGCAGAATATTCAACTATTCAGAAACACTGAATCAATTTTCGCTCTGAACAAGAATGATTTTTCTAGCTTCATGGGCTCTGCCCACACCACCTCAGACACCTGCCACATTCCCTTTACACCCACCTATCATTTCCTTACTACCTGATTCTTTTCATTCTCCAGATCTCAGTAAAGAAGTCGCTTGCTTTCTGCTAATTTTCCTAACATCTCCACATCTCCATCTCATGTTCAAGACAAAGGAGGTTCTCATGTCTTCCCATAATGAACTATCTCGTACTGTCCCCATCATGGCAGAGCATGCTGTATTACAAGTTCGATGTGCAGGAAATAGGGCCCAAGTGGTGTTTGCCATTAATCAATGTGGCATATGCAGTGCAGTACTGGGGCAGACTCCTATAAATGACCTTTTAAAAGATGCTAATATGACCTTTCAAAAGATGCAAATCTGACTTTATCACTTTCCTGCAAGACCTTTGAGCAGCTTTGAACCTCTTTGTCTTTGTTTCCTCCAAAGACACCATCCAGCTCCCTGTGCAGCCTCAGGCCTCAGTGACTTAGCCCCCGCCTTTTTTTTTTTTTTTTTTTTTTTTTTTTGTGAGATGGAGTCTCGCTCTGTCACCCAGGCTGGAGTGCAGTGGCGCCATCTCGGCTCACTGCAAGCTCCGCCTTCCGGGTTCACGCCATTCTCCTGCCTCAGTCTCCCGAGTAGCTGGGACTACAGGCGCCCACCACTACGCCCCGCTAATTTTTTTGTATTTTTAGTAGAGACGGGGTTTCACCACGTTAGCCAGGATGGTCTCGATCTGATGACCTTGTGATCCGCCCGCCTCGGCCTCCCAAAGTGCTAGGATTACAGGCGTGAGCCACCGCGCCCGGCCCAGCCCCCGCCTTTCTGACTTCCACTCTCATCCTCCATCCGTCTCTGGTATAAAGTTCTTTCCTGACACAAGGTCTTTGCTTATGTGGTCTCCCCTCCCCCTCTCTGGATTTCTTTCCTGGCTACAAATCATCATTTAGGTCTCAGCTTAAATGCCACTTCCTGAAAAATGACTTTGCTGAGAGCCTCAATTGGGTCTCTCAGTTCTAAAAACCCTGCACGTTCCCATGTCTGTGTGTCCCCCGATGTGCTCTTCCCAATTAGACAGCAGGGTCCCCGAGTGCTGAATTTTCTTCACTGCTACCACGCCAACACCTAACAAAGAACTTGCCCCAAAATCTATTTGTCAAATGGAAGAATAAATCATTAAGGAAAATATCTGATCAGTGATTTGATGATAAAAAATACAGTATATAATGAATACCTAGAAGTTTATTATAGTTAAATGGGCCGTCTCTGAGATGGAATAACTTCACTACGATTTATGTGTTTTAGAAAAATAATGACATATAATTCACAGATTTAATGACAGTGTCACATCTATACTTCCATTTTATGTGGCATATTGTAGAAAGAGCGAGTTTTATTATCCAGATTACCTAATAAGGAAACAGTGTTTAAATGCTGATATGGTTTGGCTGCGTCCCCAGTGATTCAAAGACCAAAAGGGTTTAAATAAAAAGAAGACCAAAGGAAATAAATAGAAAAGAGGAGGGAATTTATGAGAAACCATTTTAAATGGTCCATTTTCAAGGCATGATAAATCAAAAGTACTGGAAGCCAGCCTGCAAATTTAACAAACCGCACTGCTCATGCACCTAGAAGGTCACAGTAAGCAAACAATGAAAAGGAGGGGTCAGCCCATAAAAGGGAAAAAAGTTTCATTATTGGGAAATTGAAACAAGCAAGAAAGAGGACCGAGATATAACCTTATAAGGGGGATAATGAAACGTAGGTGACATCCAGGAAAATTGTAACCCCATAGCACTCAACCAATGAGGAACTTGGGGAGGGACTTGCGTACTAGAAGATAAATTACTTGTTGTGACGGCCCCAGATGTACCTACCTACCAGACACCCAATCTTGCAAGACCATTATTAAGTCTCACTTTCGCTTTTCTTCATGCCTCTAAGTCCATTCTTTGGGTTTGGATGGATGAGTAGATTTCTCACACCCACTCAAATCTCATCTTGAATTTCTACGTGTCGTGGGAGGGACCTGGTGTGAGGTAATTGAATCATGCAGGCAGGTATTTCCCATGCTATCTGTGTGATAGGAACGGTGTCTCTTGCACACAGATGGTACTAACTTCAACTATGTCAAACAAAAAGTTGTTTGTTACTTAACAGTCATCTCATTTGCTACTATACCTTCAAGAATAAGCCACTGATTCAATTTATCTAAAATTATGATGTTAAAATAATTTTTGAAGTTTGTTTTTACATATATCTGATTATCTACCTACCTCTATTTTATTTTACCAAGTTAATTGCTTTTTTTTTTTTTTTTTTTTTTTGAGACGGAGTCTCGCTCTGTCGCCCAGGCTGGAGTGCAGTGGCGGGATCTCGGCTCACTGCAAGCTCCGCCTCCCGGGTTCACGCCATTCTCCTGCCTCAGCCTCCCAAGTAGCTGGGACTACAGGCGCCCGCCACTACGCCCGGCTAATTTTTTTTTGTATTTTTAGTAGAGACGGGGTTTCACCGTTTTAGCCGGGATGGTCTCGATCTCCTGACCTCGTGATCCGCCCGCCTCGGCCTCCCAAAGTGCTGGGATTACAGGCGTGAGCCACCGCGCCCGGCCAAGTTAATTGCTTTTAACTTCAATGTTCTTAAAATCACTCTGCCTCCTTTGCATTATGGTATAAAAATAGAACAATCTTTTTCCTATTGATTTCTAAATGCTTGAAGTCTCCTCTCCTTCTCTTTAAAACCCAATCTGATAGTGTGGATTTAACATGCCTACCTTCAACATTTTGTTATTTGTATTAAGTTATTTCACTTTATTATTTTTTAAATTATATGCCTTATAAGTCAGGTTTGGACTTTTACTCCTGGTTGGGAATTCTTAAATAAAATAAAGAGTGATTAGTTGTCAAAGTTTACTTCAAGCATAGCTAAGAAAATTTGGCCCATAGTTCTTTCCTCTTGTTGCTATAAGATCTGTGTTTTGGCCGGGCGCGGTGGCTCACGCCTGTAATCCCAGCACTTTGGGAGGCCAAGGCAGGCGGATCACGAGGTCAGGAGATCGAGACCATCCTGGCTAACACAGTGTAACCCCATCTCTACAAAAAAAAAAAAAATTAGCCGGGCGAGGTGGCGGGCGCCTGTAGTCCTAGCTACTCGGGCGGCTGAGGCAGGAGAATGGCGTGAACCCCGGGGGGCGGAGCCTGCAGTGAGCAGCGATCGGGCCACTGCACTCCAGCCTGGGCAACAGCGAGACTCCGTCTCAAAAAAAAAAAAAAAAAAAGATCTGTGTTTTATCTATCAAGAAGTGTTTCTCATTTTCAATCTACGAGTCATGATTAAGGAATTAATAGAAGAACACCCAATGTCCTTGTTCAACAGGAATTATCAGGGTTAAGTCAAATTCTTATAACTCAGCGGTTAATTACTCAATTTTTGCATTTTGTTATATAAATTTTTACCCGGTCTACTTTGCAAGTAGTTTCAAATAACTACTTGCAAAGTAGTCACTAGCTGTTATCAATCTATTCATGATTTGCCATGGTAATTTCTTCCTATCACTCATCTCTTCTGCATTGCTGAGTAAAGGAAACAGTGATCAACTTAAAGCATGTGGAAAACAAAATAAATAGAGACTGAGAGAAAAACAGCAAATTTTACTTGTGTATTTAGTATTTTCTTCCTTTCTGTGGCTTGATTTTATTTGATGTTTGGAACACAATCTATTTCTAAAATTTGTGGGGACAGTTCCATCTTTTGGTTTCTGTGTTTGCATTTCCACCTCACTTCCTTAAATTAATTTTCTTCCATAATATTTCATGTTAACATATATCTAGGTTTTCTGATCACACACAAACACACACAAAGACACACACAGCTCTTCTTGAAGTTTGTACACCATTTACACCATTTCTCTGGACTGTTGAGTCTATTATGATTGTTTACATTGAGGGATGAATTTTTGAAGACATATGAATTGAAACAAAGGTCAGTGGACCAATTCAGTGTCTTGCAAAGTTGTTTATTATAATGAGATTATTATCAGGGCTTTAAGCCTTTTAGGCCATGAGGAACAATTAATGGCACTCCAAATTTACATTGAGTAAATTAATATTTGTAATACTTTATATATCTTTTGCCCCCCAAAATAAAATAATATAGTATTAAATCAACTCAAGAGAAAATTTTAGGAAACAACATGTTTATAGTAGACAGAATTATAAGATACCTCCTCCCACTGCCCATGGGCAAGATTTTTTACCCTGTTGTATACACACCTACTCCCAGTTTTTCAAACACTGATATAGATACTGCTGTGAAGAGATTTTGCCGATGTAATTAAGGTCCTGATTCACTGATAAGGAGATTATCTGGATGGACCCTAACATGGGGAGATTTTTCTAATCATATGAGTCCTTACAAAGCAGAAAATTTTCTCCAGCTGATGTCAAAAGAGGAAGTCAGAGATTCAAAACACAAGAAGAATTTGACATGCTATTGCAGTTTTGAAGTAATACAGTATCCTCTAGGATGTGACAGTGGCCTCAGTGGACAGCCAGTGAGCAAACAGGATCCCAGTTCTACAACCACAAGGAATTGGATTCTCTCAATTGTGCTGATAAGCTGGAAGCAGATTCTTCCTTGCTCAGTCCTCCAGATGAAAACAGCCCACAGCAGTTTGATTTCAGCTTTGTGAGATGATGAGCAGAGAACCCAAGCAAGCCACACCAGATTTCTTTTTTTTTTCTTTCTTTCTTTCTTTTTTTTTTTTTTTTTTTTTGAGACAGAGTTTCACTCTTGTTGCCCAGGCTGGAGTGCAATGGCACGATCTCAGCTCACTGCAACCTCTGCCTCCTGGGTTCAAGCAATTCTCCTACCTTAGCCTCCCAAGTACCTGGGATTACAGGCACCCGCCACCACGCCCAGCTGATTTTTGTATTTTTAGTAGAGATAGGGTTTCACCACTTTGGCCAGGCTGGTCTTGAACTCCTGACCTCAGGAGATCCACCCGCCTCGGCCTCCCAAAGTGCTAGGATTACAGGTGTGAGCCACTGCAACTGGCCTCACCACACCAGATTTCTATCCTACAAAACTATGAATTTATAAATGGCTTAGTTGGAACCTGCTAAATTTGTAGTAATTGGCAGTACAGCAACAGAAAACAAAGACAGATTTTATAATTGAGACTAGGAGTGGCTTCATAATTAGGCAGTGGAAGGAAGACAGAAGAAAATGAGGAATATGACTCAGAAACCCTAAGTTACCTCAGACAACACCTAAATTGTTGTGCCCAGGCAACTAAAACTGTGAGATAATAGATTCGTATTATTTTAAGCAGCTGAATTTATGGTAATTCATTATGCAGCAACAGAAAATGAAGACAGCGCCTATAATATGTGAGACTAATACTTCATTGTAACATGAAGCATTTCATGCTACAAAGTACTCAGATGCTGGACAAATTATGACATATAAATCTTAAAAGATATTGATGAGCTTCCAATCCAGTAATTATAAGCTCCACCCACCTACTCACTCTAGGGACTTGATATGGTTTGGCTGTGTCCCCACCGAAATCTCATCTTGAATTCCCATATTTTGTGGGAGAGACCTGGTGGGAGGTAATTGAATCATGGGGGCAAATCTTTCCCATGCTGTTATCGTGATAGTGAATAAGTCTTACACGATCTGATGGTTTTAAAAAGAGGAGTTCCTCATGGACACACGGAGGGGAACATCACACACCCAGGGCCTGTCATGGTTGGGGGAAAGGGGAGGGAGAGCATTAGAATAAATACCTAATGCATGCAGGGCTTAAAAACCTAGATGACAGGTTGATAGGTGAAGCAAAACATCATGAGACATGTATACCTATGTAACGAAACTGCATGTTCTGCACATGTATCCCAGAACTTAAAATAAAAATAAATAAATAAATAAATACATACACATATATGCACAACAAAAATAAAAATAAAGCACAAGCTCTCTCTCTTTTTGCCTGCTGCCATCCATGTAAGACGTGACTTGCTCCTCCTTGCCTTCTGCCAGGGTTGCAAGGTTTCCCCAGCCACATGAAACTGTTAAGCCCAATAAACCTTTCTTTTGTAAATTGCCCAGTCTTGGGTATGCCTTTATCAGCAGCGTGAAAACAGACTAATACAGTAAATTGGTACCAGTAGAGTGGGGTGCTGCTGAAAAGACATCCGAAAATGCGGAAGCAATTTTGGAACTGGGTAAAAGGCAGAGGTTGGAACAGTTTAGAGGGCTCAGAAGAAGACAGGAAAATATGGGAAAGTTTGAAACTTCCCAGAGACTTGTTGAATGGCTTTGACAAAAAAGCTGATAGTGATATGAACAATAAGGGCCAGGCTGAGGTGGTCTCAGATGGAGATGAGCAACTTGTTGGGAACTGGAGCAAAAGTGACTCTTGTTATGTTTTAGCAAAGAGACTGGCAGCATTTTGCCCCTGCCCTAGAGATTTGTGGAACTTTGAACTTCAGAGAGATGATTTAGATTATCTGACAGAAGAAATTTCTTTCTTTTTTTTTCTGTTAAAAGAAGTGTTTTGTCTCGTTTTAATATCTTATCAGCTTTACAGGGTTACAATCGTCTTAAATATTTCTGAAGTTAAAATACAATCTGCATAATAATGCTATTATAAAATGTAAACTTTCAGCGTTCTTTTAAATTTCAAAATCACACCTTTTTTCTGGTCTTTTTGTCTTTTTTTATTTTTTTTCCTTTCAATACCTGGATGTTCTGCAAAAACTGAAATTGTTACAGGCCACCCTGCTGCGGCCAGGGCAAGAAAGGCTGGGCCCAGCCAGAGGTAGAGAGTAGTTTTATGATTCTTTTATTTTTTATTTTTTTAAAGTCTATTTTTTTTTCTTCCATTACCTAAGTTTCAGGCGTGGTCCCCACATCCTCTGACAAACCCCAGAGAAACTGAAATTTCACACGTCACGAATGAAAGGCTGAGTTTACGTTTGCCAAGAAAAAAAAATGCAAAAGCACAATTAGGGGAAAAGAGGGACAAAGTGGGTAAAAAAAAAAAAAAAGATAAAGGAAATTCAGACTGTACAGATGCGTGACCCTTAACGACCCCGGCTCTCCCCAGTGCCCCATGCCCACCCTCCCGCCTGTCCTGACGGCCACTTAAGGGTCCCACTGAAGATTCCAGAAGCTGCCTGTCCCCCAACATCTCAGAGCAGGGAGAGCCCCCGCTCGGCCTCGAGTGTGGGGTCCCCGCCCAGTACACAGCTAGCCCCACGGCCCCAAGAGAACTCGAACCCGTCCAGGGTCCTCGTGGCTGAGGGAGGTGCCCGACCCCATCCCAGTCTGCATAAGAGGGGATGCTGAGCTGCACCCCAGAAAGCCACCCCAACTTTAAACCCCCACCGACAGGCAGTGGCGGGAGATGGGTACGGCTGGGGTTGAATGGGGCCACCTGAGGCAGGGAGTACCCTCTGGAAACCACGGCTTCCTACCCAGTATCCAGGACCGGGCCCCACAGACCCCCTGCGACCCCCTCCCATTTCCACGACCACTGCCTTCAGTGATTTCCTTCTCCTGGAGTCGCCAGGCCGCCCAGGACCCAGCCCCGTGCCCACCCACCTCCCGCCCCACCTGTCCCTACAATCATCGAAGTTAACAGCAGGCCCAAGTCCCCTGAGTTAGAATCCAGTCCCACCCACAGCCAGGGGGCCGGATCGCCCACACAGGCACGACACGCAGGATTCCCGACACACACACGTACACACGGGAGCGCAACACACGCAGCCCCAGAGAGACGACCCAGCCCACGGCCCTGCGCAGCCCCTCCCCAGACACCGAGGCGGGCGGGTGCAAAGGGGCCCATGGCCCCCTCCAGGGCCGCCAGATGCAGCAGGCAACCAGGCCCCAGTGGCTGCTGCAGACCCTGGTGCACGGGAGGCGGGGGAGAGGCACCCCAGGGGCTCAGATTTTGGCATCAAAAGTCAGACCTGAGGTAGACAGAGATAAGCAGTAGGCGCTTCCCCCAGCGCGGGACCCAGGCGCGGGACGGCGGCTCTGGGGAGAGGAGCCCTGGAGGCCGGAGGGCAGACACGGACAGGGTCCAGGCGGTTCTGCGAGTGGGGCCCGATTGCGTCTTGGGGCGAAAAGACACCCCCTTCCCGGGGTGATTGTGCTGCTACGGTGCCGGCCCCGGGAAGGGGCAGGGAGAACCTAGCTGCCCACCACCCCCTCCTGGAAAGGGGGTGTGTGTCAATGGCCCTGAGATCAGAAGAAAGTGGGGTCCCGTCCCCAAAGACAAAGGAAAGTGAAAGTCCCCTCCCACAGCCCGACGGGAGAGTGAACCTAGACTCAGGGGCTCAGAAGCCCCCCAGCCCCCTCCCCCAGGGGTCTCCAAGGCTATGCGGAGGTTGGGCGGTTGGGAGTCGGGGGAGTTGGGGAGTCCCCTTCCTCACCGACCCCCAATGCCGGTGGCCTAACAGGGCTCCCAGGGCCCAATTAGAGACCCAGGCTTACCATGGGAATAGCTGAGTTAATCCCCACCCCACCACAAGAGAAATGAAAGCCCGGAGCTCCCGTGTAGGACGCGACAGCCCAGCCGGTCACCAGGCGGGTCCAACAAGGTCCCCAGACCCTGCCGAGCATTTCAGACTCCTGCCTTTCTGCTCCAGCAGCTCCAGCCAAAATAACCCCCAGCTCGGCTGCTGTAAACCCACTTTCTCCTAGGCTGGCAGAGGGGCACTGACCCACAGGGTTGGGGGGCAGCCTCCCTTCTCGGCCTCGATTTAGTCACCGCACAACTCAGGGAGCTCGCAGCCCCGGCACAAAAGCGGTCGGGAGAAGAGGAAGAGATAGAAGGAGGAGAATGTTGGGGTGTGGGGTGTGTTCAGTAAGCCAGGGCCCCGAAATCCTCACCCTGAGCTAGGTCTGGCTTCACCCCCACTCCCCAGTATTGTTAGTCCCCAAAAGCAGCCCTTTTGGACAAGAGAAGAATCCCAATGAGAAGGCCACATTCATCCCTGAGACAGGAGCCTGGGGGCTGTGACAAGAACCACCCCCGCCCCCCAGGCCCCAGGCCCTTTTTCCAGCAGTTGCTACTTTTTAGATAAGATTTCCAGGCCGGGCCGGGCGCAGTGGCTCATGACTAATCCCAGCACTTTGGGAGGCTGAGGAGGGCGGATCACCTGAGGTCAGGAGTTCGGGACCAGCCTGGCCAACATGACGAAACCCCATCTCTACTAAAAATACAAAAATTAGCTAGGCGTGGTGGCGGGTGCCTGTAATTCCAGCTACTCCGAAGGCTGAGGCAGGAGAGTCGCTTGAACCCAGGAGGTGGAGGTTGCAGTGAGCCAAGATAGGGCCACGGTACTCCAGCCTGGGTGACAAGAGGGAGACTCCATCTCAAAACAAACAAACAAACAAACAAACAAAACAAAACAAAACAAAAACAGAAAAAAGAAGAGCTAATGAGGAAATTAAAAGAATTGTAAGAATCTATTTAGCTTAGTTATTCAAATTAGTTTGATAATCTTAATAAAGTATATAATTTTCCAAGAAAATATAATTTAACAAAATGAATCCTATAAAAATTAGAAAAGTCTAAATTGACTGACTTCCATGCAAAAGACAAAGAAAAATGTCAGTCCTTCAGAATATTAGGTGGCCACTACTTTCTAAGAGAATTGTATCGCTCCTTTAAAGAGAAGTAAATTCCAGTGCAGTCTATACTATTCCGAAGAATTGAAAACTGATAAAAGCTTTCTAATTCATTTTATGAAATAAGTACAACATTAAAGCTAAATTACTTTTAAAAGATTAAATACAAAAAATAAAATTACAGTTACAATCTCAGTTAACCATGCAAAAAATTCTAATGAAATAGAAACAGCCGATTAGCAGAATCTGCTTCATGATCGCTGCTTTTAGTCTAGAAATGGTTGGATAGTCTTATGTTAAAATATATGAAATAAGTTTCCATTTTTATTTGCAGTCGATCAAAATCTCAATGGAGAAAAAGTCAAGGCCTTGTCTAAAGGACAAAAGAAATTTTATGATATTGTTCTGTGTCTCAACTACCTGTTTACTCTTTATACAGTAAGGGCAGAAAGGGGTGATACCTTTCCAAAGTTCCCCATCAGAAAGGTCACAACCAGTACTCCTATAACAAAAGGCAGTTTAAAGAAAAGTATAGCAAATCAATTTAATCAAAGTTTTACATGTCAGAAGAGCCTTCAAAAATGAAGAACCAAAGACCCAGGGAAATCATCTATTTTTATAGGTAGGCTTCATGAAGAAGGGACAGCGATGTGGAAATGTGATTGGACAAAAAGGAATGATCCCATGGTAATAGGCTGAGAAAGAACCCAGCAAGACCTGTCTTCCTGGCCTCTAAGCTGCATTTATTTCTCCTGGTGTGGGACACACAGTCTTCAAGGGAGAAGGAAAAGAATGACTTTTCTAGGTTTTATGACTTGCTTTGGGGAAGAGGGGCTCTAGTTTCTGTGACTTGCCTTGGGGAAAAGGAATTCTGGTTTCAGCTTCAGAGTAATGAGAGGGGAGGGAGACAGGAGGGCAGGAGAAGGTCAGCGACCTTGCCCTTGATTCTGAAGCCTCCAGTCTCCTTTAGTTCAAAGTATTCAGCAGGCCAAGGTGCCATCTGTTGGAGTATTGTGTTCTGAACCCCAACAACATCACTTCGGAAGACTGAAATGGCAGATGTTATATGCCATGGAGGATAAATATTGCTATTACAATCTAACAGTAATACTAGCCAAGATGAAAAAGAGAAAAGAACATACCAAAATAACCTAGACTATATCTCAAAGCAAACTTTTTATAATTAGCTAAATTGTAAAAATAGTTCTCATATAAAATAAAACCTTACTATTCTTATTTAAGATACTTGTAACACAAAGATAACTGTACTGTCATAAATGTGACAATATTGAAGGCCCTGCTCCAATTGTTCTTATGTTATTATGATTAATAATCACTTTTAAAAATCACTTATATTTGACATAGAGATTTTTTTCTATTGTGCCTAATTGTTCTGTAGTGTATGAGGAGAAACTGTCCAATCAACAGATTATTTAGATGTAATTTGATGCTTACTCATTGTGTACTCGGTAAATGAATTTTTAGAAGTACATTAACAAGATGTGAGAAAACACATTAAATTTTCAAAAGAAAACTACACAAAATAGACAAGATTTTTTAAATCATGGAAGTAAATATTTTACATTATATATAATGTGAATGAAATTCATACCCGTAGATTCAAATGTTTGTGACTTTTAAAATCAAATTAAACAAATTGAGAAAATATGTAATGCCATTATATTGACTTAGAACATGTCAGTTGAAAAATAGCTTCCTATTTTATTTGGTTTCTCTGGCATCTATATAAATGTATGTTTAAAGGACAATTACCTTTCCTTTTCCCTTTTTATTTCTGAAGTATGAAAGACAATGTGAGATTTTTCTGGGTAATATGAGCTTCTTTGTACATCTTTTTCAGGATGCCACTGATGTTGACAGCTATTCTTTTAAAATACTGATATTCAACATGACAATGCATGTGACCTGCCAAGGAATTGAGAAGCTGAAAGTACAGTGACATGGTTATGACAGGGCTGCAAAAGACATGACTTGTAATGTCATTTCAAAGCTTTCTCTAAAAATAAGTTGAAAAACACAAAATGAATTTGCCTTTTATTCAGCCAAAATGAGTATCTCTTTACTTCAGATACCTAGTTTGTATTGGAAGTGGTTTTTGAAGATTCTAAAATGTGTGTGTGTGTGTGTGTGTGTGTGTGTGTGAGAGAGAGAGAGAGAGACAGAGAGAGAGAGAGAGACTGTGACTCTGCTCAGGGGTTATAAATCATTTACCTTGAGTAGCATATTTTCTTTAGTCTTTGCAACTAGCTGAAGGATATCATAACTTCCAATATGATCATTTCATAAAAGTTGTCTTTAAATAAACAAAAAGATGGAGTAGACGTTGACCAAATGTTTTGATTATCATATGTTTTTAAAAAAGGAAACAAAATGGACATTTATTTGTTTTCATAATGATACGTGTAAGATAGGAGCAGTAAAGAGTAGGGTATAAGACAAACTTCTAGTTGGTGTATTTTAGAAAAATGTTAGCTAACAATGGGATTTAACATATTAACCTCTGATACTGAAAGGGAATTCCATTTCTGGTGGTATGTTTTTCCTTAAGTGAATAGGCCAGAGATACCCTCATACTAAAAATGTATGTGTATGTATAAAGCTTCATATATTTTAAACACCTTATTCAGCATCATATTTATACTTGGATAGTTTTCACTGTTTTTCTAGGATCTACTGAAGTGTTTAGTTTTGATGAAAGAAAGTCTATGGGTTTGATCAGAAGCCCATGAGTCCAATCAAAGGTATTATTTATTTGAAATTTAAAAACCATGCAAGCAATTTCAAGCATGTAAATTAACTAGGATTTTAGGACGACCTGTGAGTGGAGAAGCACAGGAAAACTAGGTTATCAGAAATTCATAGGAGATCCTCCTGAGGCAGAAGTAAAATTATAGTTGAGGAGAAATATAAGTCATCATCCCAGATTAATTTGCTTGCAATTTGAAATTATGGAAAGAGGAAAAGTCCATGTGCAAGGATCTTCTTTTCCATGCAATCTAATTTTTAAAAACTGGGATAAAAACAGCATGAGAGCTACCCTCTTAAATTTTTAGGAATACAACACAGTGTTCTTAACTACAGGCACAATGTTGTACATAGCAGATCTCTAGGACTTATTCATCTTGCATACCTGAAGCTTTATACTTGTTAAAAGTAACTCCCTATTTTCCACTTCTCCCAGCCCCTGGTAACCCACTGCACTTTGTGCTTCTGTGAATGGGGTTATTTTATATTGGACATATAATAACGGACTCACACTGTATTTTCCTTTTGGCTTATTTCGCTTAGCATAACGTCATCAAGGTTCATCCATGTTGCCACATATGGAAGGATTTCATTTCAGACAATAATATTTTGTTGTAAGTAGATGCCACATTTTCCTTATCTATTCATATGTCGGTGGGTCTTTATGCGGCTTCTACATCCTGGCTATCGTGAGTACTGCTGCAATGAACATGAGAGTTCGAATATGTCTTCAAGATCTTAATTTTTTGAATAAATACCAAGTGTGGGATTGCTGGATCATACGATAGTTCTATTTTTAATGTTTTTGAGGAGCCTCCATACTGTTTTCTACAGTGGCTGCACCATTTTACACTCCCAATAGAGTACAAGGATTCCAATTTCTCCACATCTTTGCTAACACTTGTTACCTTTTTGTTGTTGTTTTGACAACCAGTGGGGAGTGATATCTCATTATGGTTTTGATTGGCATTTCTCTGATTAGTGACATTGAGCATTTTTCATATGTGTGTTGGCTACTCGGATATTCTTTTAGAGAAATGTCAATCCAAGTACTGTACACCTTTTAAAAATCTGGGTATTTGTTTCTGGCTATTCAGTTGTAGGGTTTCCTTATATATGTTGGATATTAACACCTTATTAGATAAATAGTTTGCAAATATTTTCTCCTATTTTATAGGTTGCCTTTTCAATCTGTTAATTGTTTCCTTTGCTGTCATAAAGCTTGAACCCTTTCTGGGTTTACCCTACAGATATCTTTTCATTATGAATCTTCTTAAATGATTTCATTTTTATATGTACAATAAAAATCAATGAGAATTGTTAAAAACAAAAACCTCAGAGAGATAGGATTTTACTCCACAGAGAACAAAGTGGAGCTCATATCAACCTGGGATTAATAAAAGGAAAACTCTTTTCACTCAGATAAAACTCTCAGGCAAGGCATTTGGAAATATTTTTGATGCATTCGTTATCTTTGAACAATTTAAGAGTATATTTATATCACATGTTCTTACCTACAAGTGGAAGCTAAACATTAGGTACACATGTACACAAAGATGAGAACAATAGATTCTGGAGAATCTGAAGGACAGAAAAGAGGGAAGGGGCAAAGGGTGAAAAACTACCTATCGGGTACTATGTTCACTATTTGGGTGATGGGTTCAGTTGAAACCCAAACCTCAGCATAACGCAATACATCCTTGTAGCAAACCTGCACATGTACCCCCGCTCCAAATCTACAATAAAAAATAGAAATCTTTGGCAAAAAAAGAGTGTATCTACAGCTCTTAAGGGCTATGTTTATATATCTCTATTGTCTTTTGCTTTATATTTTGTTTATATTTTGACAATTTGTGAAATAAGTACATCTTTTAATGCTCTTTATATAGTTCTAATGTAACAACATAGCTAGACACCGTTCTCATAAAAACAAGGACAGGACATTCAGAGGTAACAATAATGAGCAAAGGTAACATTTCAATGGAAACTGAGCTAAATGAGTAAAAGCAATATAAATGATATGTAAAGGATTACAAGGTTGATAGGATATTGTGTTCAAGCCCTAGATAAATCCAACCAACTAATCTTTGAGAGAGAAGTATGTAGTATGGAAGCATGTAACTGTAATTATTTTGAGAAATGCTAAACCTCAAAATAAAAAGTTTTTTTGCACTTGTCATAATTGAAAGTTTGTTTTTCCTCTCTTTTTGGTAACATTCTATCACTCTCGCCTGCAACCAAAATGACCCTCACCCTGGCAGCCAGCACTGGGATTCCATCCTCATCGAGCTCCTTGACACGCAGGTCGGCTTCACTGTGGGCAAGCACAATCATCATTTGCAGACAAAAGGAGAACCCAGTTATTTGATCTTGATTATAAGATGTGACAATTATCTCTCAAATATTACAGATTTTATGTCATAAATTGCTCTGGGGCACTGCAACCTAGCAAGTCCTCCTGAGAGGCCCATCTAGCCTGCTGCCCAGGCCACAACCAACCTTGCCACTAGCCTTTTCATCAATACAAAGGACAACTATTTGTAATTGTCCTCCAATTGAAAGAACATGCCTAAAGTTGTCAATTGTGTTTATATATTTTAGGTAGGTAGGTAAAGAAAAGTTCTTGTTGTTGGTGAATCACAGACAATTGTTCAATTTAGAGGAGAAGGCAGCCTGGGTAGTGGAGAGGAGGACATTGTTTTCATTGTTGTGTACCCAGGGCCCAGCATAGAGACGGGAAAATAGTTGGCATCAGATAAACTACTATTGAATTCAATTATCATGAGATTCCTTTGCTAATGCTGAGAAGTACAGAAGGTAGAGAAGATAGAATTTTATGCTTAGGGAAATAAAAGACTCAGAAGGGTTTGCCTTATTGAGACCCACTTAGATTTGAAAGTCCTTTAAGATAAATATCATTGAATTTGACCTAGGTGAGCGTTTATATTAATTCTAGGCTTACAGGTCTAGAAGAAGCCTTTGTAAAGACTTTGACATGTCCGAGTAAGATTGAAAGTGCCACTCTGAAACCTACTCCATAGCCTCACTTACTTTACTTACTAGAAAACATGTTGCCCTCTTGTTCCACTCTTCAAAGTCAAAGACCTTGTGACTTTTCTGAGCCCTGAGGATGAGGATGAGGTTTCCATCACTTTTCAACTTTGTATATAGAACAGAGCAGGATATTTGCTGTCCAGTGAACATCAACATATTTCAGCAAGCCTCATCTTTGTTCTCATTGATGGAAAGCTTAAATTAAATCTTTCTCAGCCAGAACATTCAACAAGGGATATAATAAATGAATTATGTAAAGAAATACACAGATGTTTTAAACAAAACTTCTCTATGGTCTCCCACAAACCTCACACATAAATAGAAAGTTAATCATTTGGTAATAAATGAACACTTTAGGTAATGAGAGATACTCAGGATCCCTGAAGAAATTAAATTCTTATTTTCTCTCTTTTTTTTTTTTTTTTTTTTTTTTGAGATAGAGTCTCACTCTGTTGCCCAGGCTGGAGTGCAGTGGCGCGATCTTGGCTCACTGCAAGCTCTGCCTCCTGGGTTCACACCATTCTTCTGCCTCAGCCTCCCGAGTAGCTGGGACTACAGGCACCCGCCACCACGCCTGGCTAATTTTTTTGTATTTTTAGTAGAGACAGGGTTTCACCATGTTAGCCAGGATGGTCTCAATCTCCTGACTTCGTGATCTGCCCACCTCGGCCTCCCAGAGTGCTGGGATTACAGGCATGAGCCACCGTGCCTGGTCAGATTCTTATTTTCTCTTAAAAAGACAGCATGCCCTGGGCACATATGGAATGCCATGTCCAAGCACACACCCAGCTCCATCCCCATTAGGAGTCACAATTAGCACATTGCTGTTGACAAGATCAAACACAGACCTTTCCCCTTTGGCCTAAGTCTGCTGACAAGGCAAAACACAGATCCTCCAACCACCCATTCTTTGTCTCATTATTAATTAGCTAAGATTAGAACTGTTTGTCCCTCCAAACTAACAAAATCCTAAGATAAACATTTCCTGCTGAGTTGACTAAGACCCCCCCGATTGCAGAATAATTTTGATAGTAAATTATACCACCAGTTGAACAGTCACAACCTGCTGAGATCTGGCCATGTTCTCTCTATTACAAATAGTCCTAATGAAATCATATGCTCCACAGTCCAGTGCATTTTGTCTTTGAGAGTTGCCAGCCTCTTTTACTGGAGTTGCAGCTCACGATGTAGAGGAAGCTACTCTGGGGACTTTGGTCATTTTGCACTTTGTAGGAATTGTGCTCAGTAAGTGATTGATTCACTTATCATGAGAGATAATAGGCAAATAAAAAGAATTCTTATACTTTTGATGGCAGCTAATTGGGTTCCCAGGTTAGTCTGGCATAGTGGAAAGAGGGTTCCTGGGTTCTATAGGCTGCAGACATGAACCTCCACATTTGCTACTTGTCTCCTTCAAGGAAGTCACTTCACCTCCCTAAGCCTCAGGTATTCAATTTGTGAAATGATAGGTGCTAGATTTCTAATGTTAACACTGTGGAGAAAAACTCCTTTTCTTAGTAGAAATATCTTCCATACTCCCAAAACACACACACTCCTGTTTCTCTTCAGGAAATGCTTCTATTGACCTGTTAGAATAGGAGCTGAAACCCCAGGTGACAATTTTGAATAACGATATAAGAGGTTAATATTCTACTTTAGATGATGGAGGTTAGAAGCAAGTCAGCTAACTGCAGAGCTGTTGTTTTGCTGATTGGATTCAAGTAGAGTGACAGATCTGAGTACCTTGGGACAAAATGAGGGCATTTCTGAGGAAGCAGAAGTCTGAAAGAAAAGAAAGAGGAGAAGTCATGGGAACCACCTTCTCAAATTATAGTTCCTTTTGGCTAGATACTTAGTTAACTAGTGTAACAGTAAATACAAATGGAACATAGGAAAAAAATAATAATTCTCCCTGATGGAAAAAGGGAAAGAGATCTCCACCACCACCACCACCATTTCCTCAGAACATTTTCTTTCAGAAACATAAATTCTTTCTCTGCTTCTTAGGGATATAGCAATTTTTTAAAGAAAAAAGATAAGTCTCTTGCAGGTTTTACAATGTAGGAATGTGTTTCTCAAGGGTCTGGAACTATCTCTGAGATAGAATCACCAAGGAGGATTGTACCTCATCCCCTCATCTTTATAAACCAAAAATAAAACTCATAGCCACCCCCTCCACCCCTCACAAACATCTGAATGGACCCCTCCTCTGCCAGGGCACCCTAAATTTAACCTGAAAGACTGGTTTAGGCCATGATGGTGAGACAGCCAGGTGGGAGAGGGTCCCCAGTGAAACTGCAACCAGCCCACACTGGAAGGAATGCACCTTGGGGTGGAGCCACAGAAGTTTGCACTGTTTGCAGAGGGAGGAGCCTGGTCCCACCTCTTCCTGTGTGGAAACTGGGATTCAATCTGCAAGGCAGGAAGCACACCAGCAGAGACTCTGACTTTGCAGAGGGTCCCTGTTCCCCCTTTTTTTTTCCTTTTCACCCAATAAAACCCTGCTTTACTCACCCTTCAACTCGTCTGCAAGCCTAAATTTTCGTGGCCATGGGACAAAGACTGCATCTTTAGCTGAACTAAGGAAAAGTCCCACAACAATGGGGAGGGAGGGTCAGATATGCCTCATTATGCCCTCTTTCCTCTTGGAATTCAGGAAAAACCAATCACCATTTAATATCAACACAAGCCTTAGGTCTGAGAAGAAACCTGTACAATCTATTTTCTCTGAAGCCTGCGAAATGGAGGCTTCATCTTCATGATAAAACTTTGGTCTCTGCAACCTCTTATCATAACCCAGACATTGTTTTCTATGATAATAACTCTTTCAAGCAATTGCCAATCCGAAATTTTTCATTCTACCTATAACCTGGACACCCCCTTGCTTTGAGTTGTCCCACTTTTCTGGACTGAACCAACTTATATCTTAAATGTATTTGATTGATGTCTCATGTCTCCCTGAAATGTATAAAACTAGGCTGTGCTGCAACCACCTTGGACACATGTTCTCGGGATCTCCTGAGGGCTGTGTCATGGGCCATGGTCACTCATATTTGGCTCAGAATAAATTTCTACAAATGTGTTACAAAGTTGGACTCTTTTTATTGACATTTTCATGGGAGGGTAGGAACCTAATGTTACCTAGGCGTCGGGCTCCACATTGCAAAACTACCTCCTGGTATAAAGATATGAGAATTTGTTTTTCCTTTCGATAAAGGTAATTAGCAAGCACCCATGGCCAATTTCAATTACCCAGTGAATCTGGGATGAATTCTATGTGGCAAGTGGTGCTGTCAAGTCCTTTTACTAACTTGCAAACTACTTATCATCGATCTTGAGAACGTGTATGTGAGGGTTTTACCTACTTGGCCACATGAAAGGGTGAGATTTCTGTCTGTTTTTCAATCTCTTTGGCAGATTTCTTGTGATGCACATTGAAGTGAGCCTTAGTGCTTATTCAACAACATCTATTCTACTTTTGTGGAGAGGTTTCCTGAACAGGTTTTGTTTTAAATTATTTCCCAAACACTAGATATTTGCTATCTAGTATATCTTTGCTAGGCTGCAAAGAAGGGGTCAGCAAGCTTTTTCTGTAAAGGCCCAGATAGTAAATATTTAGGCTTTATGTGTCACATACAGTTTTAGGTCATATTATTTTCTTTGCTGTTTTTTTTTTTCCCCAGCCTGTCATTAATGTAAAAAACATTCTTAGCTTGTTGCCCAAATGGGCACTGGATTTGGCCCTTGGCTCCATAATTTGCCAACTGTAAAGTGTGGGAGGAGATTGTGAAACCCTTCCCAGAGAGGCCTGTAAGGGGCACCTTCAGAGGGTGATGCTACCTTTAGGGAAACAGGTGACTCAGACCCAGTCTTTTATTTACTTCCCTAGCCACTAGAGTTTGGCTCCATCTCTGTGCCAAAGGAATGCAGTGAAGAGAGAAGA
Source organism: Homo sapiens (assembly GCF_000001405.40). NCBI lineage: Eukaryota > Metazoa > Chordata > Mammalia > Primates > Hominidae > Homo > Homo sapiens. The sequence continues at coordinate 39,545,353 of NC_000009.12, forward strand.
GAGGTATTCAAAGGTGACATATACAGTTGATTCTCATTATTCACAGTAGTTATGTTCTATAAAGTTTCTGTAAATATCAAATTACTGTAGGGGCAGAGAGAAATCTTCCCCTCTGCCCTCTGATAGTTCACTGCTGAAATGAGCTGACAATAGACAGATTAACAAGGGAAAAATGCACACAATTTATTAATATGCACATGGAGATGGGAGTCCTAAAAATATGAGACTCAAAGAAGAGCTTTGGTTAAGCCTTAAATGCCCTCTAGTTGGTTAATTCTTAAATATCCTATTCACAGGGGACAGGGAAAAGGGGGACTGTGGGCACATCTAGAGGGAAAGTAAATTATTTTAGGGAAAATGAATGAGCTCAAAGAAAAGACAATTGGCCTGGTACAAAGTTTGTCTGAGCTCTGGGGGAGGTACAAACAAATTATGGAAAGGTGAGACCAGAACTTCATTGTAAACAAAGGTTGTCATTAAGCAGATAAAATCTTTCCCATAATCTCTCTGAGCTGCCCTCAGAAGGATAGATGAAAAGTCTGTCTGGACATGGTAATGACTTATTTTCTCCTCTCTGGTGGTTACTCTTTCCTGGTTATATGATAAGATCTGTAGAGAGGGAGTTTTAAAACATCTGCATTTCTGGCCCGGTGCAGTGGCTCACGCCTGTAATCCCAGCACTCTGGGAAGGCCGAGGAGGGTGGATCACGAGGTCAGGAGATCGAGACCATCCTGGCTAACATGGTAAAACCCCGTCTCCACTAAAAAATACCAAAAAATTAGCCAGGCGTGGTGGCGGGCACCTGTAATCCTAGCTACTCGGGAGGCTGAGGCAGAAGAATGGCGTGAACCTGGGAGGTGGAGCTTGCAGTGAGCTGAGATTGGGCCACTGCACTCCAGCCTGGGTGACAGAGCGAGACTCCGTCTCAAAAAAAAAAAAACAAAAAAAACAGGCCGGGCACAGTGGCTCATGCCTGTAATCCCAGCACTTTGGGAGGTCGAGGTGGGTGGATCACAAGGTCAGGAGTTCGAGGCCAGCCTGGCCAATATGGTGAAACCTTGTCTCTACTAAAAATACAAAAAACTTAGCCAGGCATGGTGGCACCTGCCTGTAATCCCAGCTACTTGGGAGGCTGAGGCAGGAGAATTGCTTGAATCCAGGAGGCAAAGGTTGCAGTGAGCCAAGATCACGCCACTGCACTCCAGCCTGGGTGACAGAGCGAGATTCCGTCTCAAAAAACAAAAACAAACAAACAAAAAAACCCTGCATTTGTATATGTCAATTTGACTGGGCTAAATTAAAACAAACAAACAAACAAACAAAAACACTGCATTTCTTCTGGAGAAACCTCCCTTGGTCAGACTTAATCAGATAAGGAAACTTCAGCAAAAGCCTCTCCTTTCTTGCTTCCTTGCTTCAGGAAAGAAAGAGGATGGTAGGTGATATGGTTTGGCTACGTCCCCACACAAATCTCATCTTGAATTGTAGCTCCCATAATTCCCACATGTTGTGGGAAGGACCCAGTAGGAAATAATTGAGTCATGGAGGCTGTTCCCCCCATACCCCCATATTGTTCTCCTGGAACAGAATAAGTCTCATGAGAGCTGATGTTTTTATAAGGGGAAACCTCTTTCACTTGGTTCTCATTCTTTCTTGTTTGCTGCCATGTAAGGTGTGCCTTTTGCCTTCCACTGTGATTGTGAGGCCTCGCCGGCCATGTGGAACTGTGAGTCCATTAAACCTCTTTTTCTTTATCAATTACTCAGTCTTGGGTATGTCTTTATCAGCAGCATGAGAACAGACTAATACAGTAGGGTGGGGTTGGGGGGGCTGATGGTGTTAGACAGAGTGTTGGTCCTGAGGCTTATTTCTGAGGCCTTTCAATTTTATTTAATTCAAAGCACTCAACATGTCAAAGTGCCATTTTTGAGGATGTGGTTTTCAGAGCTCCAACATTAGCAAGTATTAAATTGTTGCTTCTTGGGAAAATGTAAGGGGAAGTTTCTGTGAGCCTCTGGCTGCAACATTTTCATCAAATGATCAAGACATAATCTTGTTTTATATGTGTTTCTGTTTAAAGACACCTTATTTAACATATAAAATTTATTCATCAGCATTGAGATTATAGCCAATGGCACTATAGGTCATATCTGAACAAAGTTTATGTCACATGTGCCTCCATAATGCACATCACGGTCTTTTTGTGCTTTGAGAGCACTTTAGCACTATGTTTGGGGGCCATTGTAAACATCAAAATCACCAAAAAAGCATAAAAATATGAAAACCGTGACACTAAACAGATTGTGAAAAGGACACTTGATTTTAGTATGAGAGTTGAAACAAGAAGGCAGAACACGGTTTTGTTCAACATCAGCTGGGAATGTGCAAGCTGGGAGAATGAAATTTTTGGCCAGTCTGTGTATGACAACAAAGGTGCTGTGAGTGTGAATTTTGGGGCTAGTAATAAATTTTAGCAGGTGGGTGAATTTGCAAATACAAATACATTTTAGCAAGAAGGTGGATTTGAAAATACAAAATCCACGAATAATGAGAATTGACATTCTGTGGGAGTTTTATTGAATGTGAAATGTAAAATCTATTTTCTAACTATTCACAACTACTTATGAATAATGAATTCATTTCCAAATATGTTTCTGTAAAGAGTGTATATATGTTGGGGGGGGTGTCCCTGGAAGTGCTGAGTGGAACCTCCATTTGGGTGTTATTGTCACCTGACATTTCAGCCCCACTTTTGGGTTATATCACATAATCTTAAGAATTTAAAAGAATCTAATTAAAATATTTGTATGTTAATGTCCATTTGAGGATATTTCAGGAGTAAGAGTGTGTGTGGATTTAAAATGTCATAATTCTTGGCTTGGATTATTACAGTCATCTATTACCATATTTAGAATAATAGCTATGACAAGCTTCTGCAAGTAGGTCATGTTTGTGCTAATTGCTTGTCAAAGCTGTATCCCCAATTATCACCAACATAACATGTTGATGAGACAAAGTTGATTGCTAATTTATTGCAAAGTTTTTTTGTTTTTTTGAGATGAAGTTTCGCTCTTGTCGCCTAGGCTGGAGCGCAGTGGCGCAGTCTCGGCTCACTGCAACCTCTGCCTCCCAGGTTCAAGCGATTCTCCTGTCTCAGCCTCATGAGTAGCTGGGATTACAGGCATGTGACATCATGCCGAACTAATTTTTTGTATTTTTAGTAGAGGTGAGGTTTCACCATGTTGGCCAGGCTAGTCTTGAACTCCTGACCTCAGGTGATCCACCCGCCTCAGCCTCCCAAAGTGCTGGGATTATAGGCATGAGCCACAGCACCTGGCTTATTGCGAAGTTTATTGCTTACCTATGTGGCAGGAAAATAATTGACCTCCCAAAGATGTCCACACACTCATCTCTGGAATATGTGAACATGTGAACTTACATGAAAAATGGAAATTAAGACCACATTTGGAATTAAAGTTGTTAACTCACTTTGAAATAGGCAGATTATCCTGGATTATCCAGATGGGGCTAATCACAAGTTCTTAAAAGTGGAAGAGGGGGGCAGAAGAGAAAGAACCAAAGAGATGGCAGCGTGAGAAGGCCTCCCAGCCTATCATTGCTGACTGTGAAGATGGAGGAAGGGGCCAGGGGCTGAGGACAGCAGGCAGCCTCTAGATGCTGGAAAAGTCAGACACAGGAGCCCAGAGCCTGCAGGAGGAACCTCTACCCTGCTGATGCCTGGATTTTAGGTCAGTGAGACCCACATTGAATGTCTGACCAAGAGGACTGTAGGATAACAAGTCTGGATTGTTTACAACACTGTTTGTGGTAATTTGTTACAGCAGCAATAGAAAACTAATACACTGGCAAGGGAGAGAGTACAGCCTTTGTAAATTTCTATCAGCATCTCAGAGGAGAGAAGGGGAGATCAGAATTTATTGAGAATTGCAAGTTTGGTTTAAGATGGGTCTCTGAAGGAGAGGATTTGATTAGAATTGTGTGAGAATCATGATACAACAGTCTGGGCTTAGAGAAAATAGTGAGGTGAGGATTTGTGGGGAAGGATTCAAAGACTCAAGCTGTAAACTCGGTCTATGACTTCCCCTGAAGGTTGATAAAGCATTTGGGAAGTTCCTATAATGAAAAATCAAACCATTCTTTAGGTAGGACAGTCCTTGAAAAGTAATACTAATGGAACAATAGAATAACAAAGTCATGTTAATATCAGTGGGAAGGTGTGGCTTCGGTTCTCAGTGTCCAGGCTGAGGTGGTTCTCTTGGCTCTTGATTTAATAGCTGATCTTCTATAGAAAAATGTATAGCTGTCACTGCCCTGCTTCCTCTGTGTACTAATTTATGACTATGCTCAAAGGCACAAAAGCAATACAAGTATGATCTGGATAGAAAAAAAGAAGTATTTGGCAGCTAACTATGAAGAAAATAGACTATTCTGATGGCTGCTTTCATTACTATCACTGTGTACATTGCTGAAAGTAGAACGTGAGCAGAAAATAATAATTTTCGAATTTAAAACATACTTTGCTGTCTACTTATGACATGCTAATAAGGTAACAAATTCTTATCAATCATGTCTGAAAAGGACACAAATAGAACACAGTGCTTGCCATTTTAGTGATTGTCAGATTTCTTGTGACAACTGAGAATGTTAATTTTATAGTAAACTTGCCATTACTCTGTATGTAGTTCATCATGATGTCTTCTGAAGCCCTTTCAGTCATGGCCTAGTGTTAAATACCAATGCAATGCTGCTTTGATCAATGCAATGCATGCAGTGCCCATAAAACTAATGTCTTGTAAAACTACTTTGTAGCCAGAAATCTTTAAGACGTTACCAGTATTCTGAGATAACACAGAATACTCTCTCATAATTTTTAAATCTTTAAATATTAGTTTCAACATCAAACACAATTCATTATGGTACCACTTTTTTTTAACATGATTAATTTGATAGCTAATACAAATCAATGTGAATGTAAATATATAAGAAATGACATAGGTAAGACAATAAACATCTGATTACTTGCTCAGCAAATATTTTCTTACCAACGTTACAAACCTCTTTTTTTTGCATTATTTTGAAACATTTACTTTTGCTAGATTCAGTGAAGCAAGTAAAGTTTGAATTTGAAAATAAACTAAACTGTGATTTGTGGAACAGGTTTTTATTTCACTTTTGAAATAAATGACACATACTGCAATTAATTAAATTTGAGATAATTTGATTATTAAATTTGAGATAATGACTTTGAGCAAACTTATCAAAATTTATTATAATAACTCTTTTAAATTAATCGCATTTTTATTCATGTGCTATGTTAAACCACATAATCAAACTGAAACTTTAAGAAAGTACACAGGTCCCAGAACAGAGCAGTTTTTCCTCAAGACAGGAAATTCCGGTCTACCTGAGTCAGTGCAAAAAGGAACTTTTCTCTGCTTTAACCCTTACAACAAATTAACCTGGATTAACCCTGATCTTAACCAATCAGCTTTTTGTCTATTGTTTTGTTTAATTGTTCTCATTTTACAGGAGCTACTGTTCTTCCATTGTCTGTGAAAGCTCTCATCCTATTTTGTAGAATGCAGGCTGCCCTGATTCATGACTTACAAATAGAAGCCAATTACATCTATAACTAAATTTGTTCTAATTTTGTCTTTTAAAAAGTTATCGTCATAGGCCAGGCACAGTGGCTCACACCTAAAATCCCAGCACTTTGGAAGATCAAGGCAGGCAGATTGCTTGAACCCAGGAGTTTGAGACCAGCCTGGGCAACATGGTGAAACACAGCTTCTACAAAAAATAACCAGATATGGTGGCATGAGCCTGTAATCCCAGCTACTCCAAAGACTGAGGTGGAAGAATCACTTGAGCCCAGGAGGTCAAGGCTGCAGTGAGCCATGATCACTACAGCCTGGGCAACAGGGCAAGACTCTGTCTCAATAAAACAAACAAATAAACAAAAAACAGTTAACATCATAAATTTTGTTTTTATTAAGAAAGGGCAACTTAATACTTTCCTAGCTCTTGAGGATGTAAATTGGTTATCTAACATATATTAATGTCTCAAATATAGTATTTTTTTTTAAAATATGTTTGTGTAGAATATGGAGTGAATTAAGTTAAAATCCAGATAAATATTTTCATTATCTTGCAAAGTTTCCAAAATGCTATGTGTTTTTGCATATAATTATTTACAACTTATTTTTAACACATTACTTCAGCCTACTAAGGATCCAATGACATAGCCTGGATGTTTGTCTCCTAAACCTCATGTTGAAATTTGAACCCCTGTGTTGGAGGTGGGGCCTAATGGGAGGTGTTAGGGTCTTGGGAGCAGATCCCTCATGAAAAGATTGTTGCCCTCCCTGGGGAGAGGGGATGAATGAGCTCTCTGTTAGTTCCCAAGAAAGCTAGTTGTTACAAAGAGCCTAGCACCCCCTCCCCCCTCTTTCCTCTTTTCTCACTATGTGATCTCACTACATGCTGGCTTCCCTTTGCCTTCCGCCATGTGTGGAAGCAACATGAGAAATTCACCAGAAGCTGAGCAGATGCTGGTGCCATTCTTCCTGTATGGGCTGCAGAATCATGAGCCAAATAAACCTCTTTTTTTAATACATTTTTTAGTCTCAAGAGTTTTTTTTAATAGCAACACAAATGGGTTAAGATATTCAATGCAATGGTTCATGCCAAAAAATACTTTGCTATCCCATGTCACGTTATAGACTTCAGGAGAAAGGACGTTTAGAAGGCATAAAGACATTTACAAAGCACAGTAGTCCCTGTTTTTATTAAAACACATCATTGCTCTATCTAAGTATTTGCTCTGGTTCTGTAAGTGACTGTCCCAGCACACCTCTGGCCTTCAGGTTTATTCTATTTTCCCAGCACAGCACAGTTTTGCTAATTTGTAAAACTCCAATTTCTCATGAAAATAATCAGATTTCTGGTTTCTCATAAAAAGAAATCATAGAAGACCTGGTCACACTGGGAGGCATCCCTTATAGGGTAGGACTATGCCCTTTCAATGAGCCAGGCTCTGTCCTGAGAGACACCATTCCCTCCCAGCTCCATTTACTCCTTACCTCTCCTTGAAGGCTTTTACCTGCTATGATCTTTAGCAACTCTGCTGCCTTTGCTTGCAAGAGAAGATTAGGCATATAATTAACATTTCAGTAGCAGATCAGGCAGAGTCAGAATGAGGGCTTTTGAAACACATCGCAGCATTCATTTACAAGTGATTAGTGGTGGCCACAGGACTGGCTGTCGCTGATTTGCCTTGCTTTAGGAAGCCATTTTTATCTTCCCTCTACTTCTGGCTGTTGGAATATTTCCATCTTCCAGCATATGGCACACTTAGTTCCTGAGGTTTTTGCTCCCAGGAAAAGAGAAAGTCCCCAAACTTAATTTTATCCTGGGAAGAGCGCATCTAAACCTTTAATTCAGAGCAGATGATCACTAATCCTAGCATAGTCAGACCTAAGCAGGCAATATTTAGGGACAGACAAACTTTGAAATAATAGCAACTGGCTATTGTATCTCTACTAAAACTCTGCCTCAAGCGTAGACATGGTTTTCTCCTATAAATCTCACCCTTAGGAACTGACAATTTGCCTTAGGTCAGGATGATATTAGTTTAGCACTCACAATAAGTTTTTCTGGAAATTTAGAATGGTAACAGAAGTTTATATTCTTAGGAATAAATATAAACTATTTTCTTCCTACTATGTTCTGTGTGTCATTGTGGCTGGTGAATAAAGAAGGGACAGACACTTTGGGAGGCCGAGGTGGGCTATTATTGTTGTGATGAGGAGTGATGCCTATGAAACCTTTAACATAGTGCCATATACAGTAACAACTCAGTAATATTTAGTTATTTGTATTATTATGCCATCTCCAAGACACCTCACCACTAGTCTCTAGAGTATCACAAGTAAAACTATGTGGAATCTTCCACTCACTCCAGTTTCCACTCTGGCAATCGTGTGGTCTATAAAATATACTGTCCTCTTTCAGACCTGGAAGTGGAAGGAGGCTGCACACATTTGAAAGAAAATTGTCCAATTAAATTCATTATCTTTATGACATAGATATATGGAAAATGGATGTAAATGCAGGAGATTTGTTTTTAAAAGTTGAATAATAAATTCCGCTGAAATACAATGTCATTCACTATGTAGGCAAATAACATCTACAAAAATTTAGGTAGAGGGATGTATACATCTGTTAGGATATTCTAGAATGACTTTTTAAAGGTTATGCTGTAAAAATGCCACCAGGTGTTAGAAATAGATCAAACTGTGTCAAACTTTTTTTTTTTTTCTTTTTTTTTTTGAGATGGAGTCTCGCTCTGTCGCCCAGGCTAGAGTGCAGTGGCGCGATCTTGGCTCACTGCAAGCTCCACCTCCCGGGTTCACGCCGTTCTCCTGCCTCAGCCTCCCGAGTAGCTGGGACTACAGGCGCCTGCCACCACACCCGGCTGATTTTTTTGTATTTTTAGTAGTGGCAGGGTTTCACCGTGTTAGCCAGGATGGTTTCTATCTCCTGACCTCGTGATCCGCCAGCCTCAGCCTCCCAAAGTGCTGTGATTACAGGCGTCAGCCGCTGCGCCCGGCCTCCTCCATAGCCCTTCTAACAGAAGCACCAAATGACAACTCTAGAAGAAACATTTACAACTCTTTCCATTTTTCATCATACCTTTAAATTATAGGATGTCATTTGATGGTTTATTTCAGTGGTCTGTTGTTCTACTTGGTGGTCTATTTCATTATAAAATATATCTTTTATGACAGTAAACCACTGGACTACAGAGTCATGATAATTTCTAAATTTTGCTGCTGACCTCTAGAATCACAGTCTATAAATAGTCTGACTTTATATCACTCCTATAAATGTTGTCAGGTTAGGGTCAAGTAAATAATTAGAAAATAATTCAGTATTTTTTTAATCAAGCATTATGATTTTTATCTTTTTGCAAGTTTAGAGTAACTTTTTCTTGGACAAATGCTTCTCTTGACCCTGACACTCTCTGAAGATTTGTTTTGTGTGCCAAATTGTATTACTGTTCCCAATTACTTGCTGTCCTCCAAGTAAGAGGATTATACTTCCCTGACACAATGGAGTTGGGATTGGTCATGTGACTTGCTGTAGCCCATAGAACGTGAAGAGAAATGCTGAGAGCCACTGCTGTGAAGAAGCCCACATTCTGCCCATAATGGCCAGAGAGCACATCAGCCATAAATTAGGTTGTTCAGTTCATAGCCTGCCTCCCTCCAAGCAAACATTATGGTGATAGGCAGAATAATGCTAGGAATCTTAAAGGTTTGGTCATTTTCTTTTCTCATTTTCAGAGCTTTGTGCACTTTTGACCCATATTGTTTTTAAAACTTTGCCACTTAGGATAGATTTACAGCAACCCATAGGAAACAAAATTTAAAAACAATATATAAGGCAATTATCTAAGAGCTATAATTTTTAAATTAAAAGATTTTAAAATACTAAAAGGAATGGCAGGAAAGTTCTCTACTAATTTATTAAATGATACAAAAGAAAATAGACGAGAAAAATGACTAATAACAAATACAGCATCCTCTTTCATATTTTAATATTCTACATATTAGATTTAATGATGACCAGGTATTTGAGAGTATATTTATTGTCATAAGTTAGGCATAAATGTATATATAGACACATTGATAAATTAAGTGCTTTTGTGTGATTGTATACCATATCTACATTTAGTTTTTGTGAACTATATGTAGTTCACATATATATCACATGTCATGCACATATGTCATGCATGTGACATATATCATACACATACATTTAGGAAAAAAAGTTCTATGAATGAAAATATATGTGTCCATCTCCTAGCTTAATAAATTAAACATTACCAATATTTATTAGTCCCCAAGGTAAACGCTATCCTAAATTTTATCATTCCTTTATTTTTTATTTGTGATTCTTTGAATATACTCTTTTGTTTTTCCCTTTTTTTTTTTTTTTTTTTTGAGATGGAGTCTTGCTTTGTCGCCTAGGCTGTAGTGCAGTGGCGCAATCTCGGCTCACTGCAAGCTCCACCTC